>NC_000005.10:93746170-94049200 GCF_000001405.40 Homo sapiens
ATCAAAGATAAGTTAGGCAATTAAGAAAAACTAATAAAGTACATACAATAAGAACATTTATGTTGTAATAACATAGAAAAAGAGCTAATCAAATCAAGGTAGTTACTAAATAGGATAATTTATTGCTTTTCAAGATAATTTTCATAATAGATAATAGCACTATTTTTTATAGGAGATAACAGAGGACAAGAACATGGGTGAAAGAAGAGCCATTTGTAAATAACAGTAATACAAGATGCTTTTACTCTTGTATGTGGAGAAATGCTATAATGTAGTAGTGTTGCTAAAATAATTTCTTTGATTTCTTTAATTTCAGATTAAGATTATGAGGACTTTTTAAAAACATTACTTCTTTTTGCTGCTGTTCTTTTTAGTATATTAAAAATGGCTGCTTTGTAATGCTGTAATGATGTAATTGCTGCTTTGAAACAAATGCTCATGACACAAATATGACACAACCACCACACAGTCAGAGAACAAAAAGAGACAGAGTACACAGAGAAAAGGCCCTCCATTTTATTTTGCAAATCTGAGATATTCATGAGCTATGAACTTCCTATGCTATAAAATAAAATGATATTAAGTATAAAAACCCTGCAGCCTGCACCAGAAGCCTTAAGGAATTTTAAATATCTGTAAAGGCAGGAAGAGCAGTTGAGCTGAGTGGGGCTGAGTTGAAAGGCACTATGATGATGAGTCAGGTATATTCATAGATAGTCAGAGATAGACAAAGTTTAAAGGCTCTTGTTATGCCAAGCATGATTTAAACAAACTTTTTAGCTGAGTTTGCCCTTGTTACAGAAGAAAAGCTTTAAGGATGTTCTTGCATTGATTACTCTAGTCAGGGTGCAGTCACTATGTTCTACATTCAAATTATCACTCTGCTTCCATTTTAGAGCAGGAGATGCACAACTGGTTTAACGAAAAATTTTTCATTGCACTGCACAATAAAATATACTAACAAAAATGACAGCTTATGACCAAGGAAACTAGTAATCATAATGTGATATGGACTCAGAGAAGTACATGAGAAGTAGAAAAGAATTTCTGTTTACAGCAGATAACTCTTTTAAGTGTTGTGAGAATTATTATTATTTTTTTAAAGAGATTCCAAATTAATTGACTTTGATGCTATTACCATCACAAGTTTGAGGCCTCTGAGAATTTCCTTGGAATCTCTTTAGGAAACTATGAACTGAAACAAGCCAAACAGAGTCACACTGATGTTTTTTTTCTGAAAAATGAACTCTTATTTTAACTAGCATTAAATGCAGCAATGACCATGGAAAATTCAAGAGGTAGTACCAGACAAAAAATTCTAAGCAAAATTTACCTAAATATATAGATTAAAAACTTCTTTCAGCATTTTAAACCTGACAAATAATCAGACAGCATTCAGTCAGCTTATCAAACTGAATCCTCTTCCAGTCACCTCACTATAATCCCAAAGGTCTTAAAGAGAACAAACTAGGTTGTCAGCCTCTCTTTTGAGCAAAATACTCATGCCCAAATCAAAATTTATCTGCTTCTAGTCCATTCCTCAAGCTCCCAGCAGCCTGCTCATCATTCTATGTGTGTGCAGAAAACATCAGGCAGATGAAGGTTTCATCTTCTGAAAGCCTCAGAACTCTTGGCAGTAATTATATCAAACCAACTGTGAGTGGAAAACTGAAAGCAAGATTTCTATTATGATGATTTACTTAATGTAAATTTCATTATTTTTTGAATATTCACCTATACAATCACATGGCTCAAGAGGTACAAAAGTGTATACAGTGAAAATGCACAGTATTTATTCTTAATTCTTATTTTGTTGCCAATCATGGCATTGTTGGCAAGTGCTAATCTAGTTAATGTCCAGTTAGAATTTTACATTTTGCTTACATAGAATTTTCTGTAATAATTTAAATTCAAGCAAGACATTGGTCTTTTCTGATTGACAGACATGTAGATGAAACATAAGGAAGAAGCCAAGGAATTTAAATAAGTTTCTCTTAAGGATATGTTCTACGGCAGGTGTCATTTTGAAAGGAAGACAATATATTAAAGAACTGATAGGCTTTCAGGGGTTGAAGGAGAGTATAGAAGAATATAATATTAGCAGGAAGAAGAATAAAAGGAAAAGGTTAGCATGAAACTTAAGTAGAAGACTTAGGAGAATGAAGAAATAGGGTAGAATATTGAAGAATAGTAAAATAAGGAGTTTAAATACTGTACTGCTGTATAATATCTCAGGAGGCTCTGAGGGTAACCCTATGATAAGATATGACTAGAATTAGAACTTAGATACTTTGAAAATAAAAAGACAGAGGCAGGAAAGAAATGACAAAGTTTTTAAATTCTCAAATATTGAAAAGCAATGAACAGTTTCCCTAAAACTATAATACTTGACTTGCTGGACAAAATAATTATTAATAACAACTACAGGAAGTCCTTGCTTTGGATGATGAGGGACTATAAAAATGACCATACAAGCTGAAACCATGCAAAGTGATCATAATAATCAAAAGGATAAATTGTGATTTTTCTATGACCTTTAAAATTTTGTTAAAATATTAAAAAGCCTCTATTGCCAGCTAAAAATAAAAAAGAAAAAATAATAAAACTAATTTTATTTAGTACACTGTAATTTAAATATTAGAAACACTGAGAATTAAAGTGCTTTATTTCTATGTAAAAAAACTTATTTAAAGTAGATTGATCAGTACTTGCCTTCTTTTCATCATATCACTTATGGTATGGTTTAACCATATCTTTTCTATGCCTGGGCAAAATGTCATAATCTTAAGTTTCAATCAGCTTTCAACATTTTATCCTTTGCACTTTCAATGTTGTGAAACAGCTCTGAGAGTTCATTTAACATGAGAGTTTTTTTTTTTTGTCTTGCTTTTTTGTTTGCCAGTGTCACTTTCTCTGGGATATCTTCATCTTTTTTGTCATAAACACTTTCGATTTCATTTCCAGTGCTTCATTTCTTTACTGCACTGTCATGTGTGTTGGTCAAGTCTCTCTTTTGATCATCCATTCTTGTAAAATGGGAGACAATGCCATCTGTACATGAACTGAAAGCAGATATGAAGTGACCAATCAGTGACAGAGTTTGAAAAAAGTGATGTGATTGGCCATTGATCATGATGTGCATCTGTTATTCACACAGAGATCTGTGGACTGAAGGGCTAGTGGCAAAGTTTGTTCTTAATGCATTTACAGGTAATACATTGTGGTAACTGAACTTTGAATCTTGTTGTCTGGGGAATTGATGTTATTCAACTAAACCATGGTAGCAAAAATTTGTGTATATCAAAACTATGCAAAGTGAAGAATTATGAAGTTCTTACTATATGCCAGGTACTGTTTTAAGAATATAAATTATTTCACTTAATTCTCAATATAACCCAATGAGATGATACTAGTCTTACCCCATTTTACAGACAGTGTGATTGTGAATATTTATCTGGCCATTAACTGTCCACATATTTGGGAGAATACAAATTTCCCATAGTAATGATAAATCCCAAGATCTTCCTGGTAAATGCTGACATACAACTATTAAAGAGTTTGAAATGACAAGTAACATATACTTGTTTGTAATATCTAGAGTAAAAAGTCAGATTTTCATGAAGTATGGAAGGAAGGTGGATACTTTCAGAAGATGCACTAACTCTTCAATAACATTAGAGTGTCATTTAAAAAAAAGGGTGTTGGTGAACTAAAAGTTACTCTTGGATTCCAAAAGAGCTCAGAAGCCCTTTATTTCCTCTACTCCCAACCCCACCACCCATTTCAATGATCATTCTCTCACTAGGAGCAGAGAATCTTTGCAGTAAACACAAGACTTCTTTCTAGGAGACTGTGAGCTCTTTGAGGGCAGAAGTCATGCCTAATACTCTTTATACCCTTGGAGCCTAGATTGGTGCCTAATACATTAGGTGTTCAATACATCTTTGTGTAATTCAAGAATAAATATTTACAGTTGTTTCTTGCCTCAAGAGAATCAAGAATAATGCAAATTAGGGGTAAGACATGAAATTAGGCTCTAATTTTGGGGGATGAATTGAAGATGATTAACTAATTGGTAAAATAATTAAATTTGGATTATCTAAAAATTCAAGCCTTGCTACTTATGCTGATTTGTATGTGCTTGATATTGTTTTTGAAGAAAAGCAAAAATAAATAACTGAGTGATTACTCCTTCATAAGAAAAATATGGCAAAAATCTAAACTACAGTGATTATGGAAGACTATACTTGTCACTGTAATATTCAAACTGAGTACCTCTAATTTAACATACAGCAGCTTTCCTACATATTGGTTATATTTAATCACTTATATTTGTGGCCTTAAATTAACAATGTCTTATTTTATTTTTGAGATGGGGTCTCATTCTGTTGCCCAGATTGGAGTGCAGCAGCACACTCATGGGTGACTGCAGCCTCAACCTCCCAGGCTCAAGTGACCTGCCCATCTGAGCCTCCCAAGTAGCTGAGACAGGCATGCTCCATCAGGCCCAGCTAATTTATTTTTATTTTTATTTTTTTGTAGAGACGGGTCTCACTATGTTGCCCACGCTGGTCTCAAATTCCTGGCCTCAAGCTATCCCCACCTTTGCCTCCCGAAGTGCTATGATAACAGGCATGAGCCATCATACACAGCCAACAATGTCTTATTTTAAATTTAATCACCTTCTATCTGGAAACTGAGAAGGAGAAGTTTAGCTAGTATTTCATATATATTAATATTGACAGAAGACTAAATTTCCTTGAAGAGAATTTTTAAAAAGTAAATAAAAGTAAAAAATCTGAAAATGTTTACATTACTTTCTTAAAACTTCTGAAATATTAGCTAAGAACAAAAGAATCTTCATGCCAATTTTGATTTTAGATTATCAATAACTTTTAACTTAGGGTCTCCTTAAAAAGTCTCATTTATAGAAATCATTGCTACAAAAAGCTTAAGGTAGGGTGTATGTTTTTTTGCCCCAACTTTTTTTTTTTGCCCCAACTTTTTTAACAAGTCACTTCTATAGCACTTTAGAATTTAAGAAATTATATAATACAACTGAATTCTGTCAAGGATTGTGGCAGGCAGTTATGCAAAACATCTATAAACTAGCTGGTATAAGATGTTTTCATTTATTGGTACAATATATTGAATAGTTACGGTCAGATATGTATGGCTGAAGGGGATATTAAACAGACACTATGGACAGAAATGATAGCACAAGGTCTCAAAGAATACTTAGACATCAAATATCAGTTAAATTAATTTTTGCACCTACAAACTGAAGTCATTAATCCAAACAAATTATCTCTTAAAATTTATCATTAAATAGAAATATTTTCCTTTGGAAAAAGACTATATTTTAAGAAACACGAAAAAGTAAAAACTTTAAAAAAATTACACTCCTGCTTTTAAAGTGCTGATAATCAACTCTGAACATCTTGAGATTTTATAAATAAATAATATTTGGCTTATGTGTAGTGCCTAATGTTCACTTTGAAAGTTCATTTTAGTACCAAAGAATATGCATTTTAGATGTTCTAAATCACCTCTAGAAAGCAATGCAGTTTTCTTTGAAGACGTATGTTTTGGGAATATTTTGGCCAGCAGACAGATTTATTACTGGTGACTTGCTGTCAGTCTGTTTATGACAAGACAGAGCAGGCTGAGAGGGTTTACATGGGGGCACACAGAATGTGTAGGGGAGAGCAGACAGTGAGCTTGTGGCTTGAGAGAGACACAAAGCCCACATCAAAGGGAAGTGAAGGGCAAGTGAGCCCAGGCACACCACAGTCAGGCAGGAGAAGACAGAAACATTTGGGCTGGGGGGATGTGATTCCATGGCTGGAAGGACAGAGTCTTCAGGTCGGGGAAACTGGAAGCCATAAAGACATGGCATAGAGGCTAAGCCAGATGAGAAAGAGACCCAGAGTCAATAAACAGACATAGAGAGACCCACCAAGGGCAGTGAACCAGATAGAGCTAACAGAGGGCAAGCGAAGTAAAGACAGCCATAGGAAGGGAGATCAAGACTTAACATATGATAAAAGGGATGAAAATGTGTGTCTTAGGTACCACTGGTCCCTGACTTATTTTTTCCAACAATTACAGACAGAGCATTAAAAGCCATGAAGCTATTCCTATGGGGGCAGTAAAAGGAATAGTGTTTCCATATTAACTCAAAACTTATAATTTTAAGTACAAATACAAATTCTTATTATTCAGTTATTTATCTAAAAGCATTCCAAAAATAATTAGTTAAAAAAATTTTTTATCTTTAAAGAAAAGAGTTAGCTCAGGAAAGGAGAGTTGCCACCTTTACTGCCAAATTCTTCGAAGGAGTTTTCACAAATTGGTTCAGAAAACTGTAAAAAACATGGTGGCTATTTTTAATTTTTTTTAAGTGAGATTTTTGGAGTGAGACTACTTATATTCATTGGAATTACTGGAAAACTGAAAAAGTCAAAATCACAGGATAATATTCGACCTGATGAAATATATATACTCAGGGCAAATGATTATATATACTAGTGATCTATATAAATGAAGATTTTATATTTAGATAAGTTATCTTAAATGATTCTTTAATTAATAACTTTCTGAGAGTTCCTGATTTCAACTATTTATTATGAATGATAAACTGAAAACACAGAGTTCCTGGTGGTCAACTTTTACAATACTTATCCCTTACGTTAACTAATAATTATAAGGTAGCATACAACAATGAATAGAGGAACTGATAACTAAAAGCTACAAGGTTAACTCTACAGTAATAAAAACTGTCTGAAAAGTGTAAAAGTGTTATTTAGTTCATGAAAACATCACTTAAAGGATCAGAATATCTTCTGACTGCAAAGAGGAATGCTATACTTCTTGACTAGTACACATACTCAAAAGTAGTACAGTATCATATATGCTAATATGCCTTGAATTTCAAGATATGTTTACAAGGCAAAGTATAGATTTTCAATTACCTGATTAATTTGAGCTATGTCTAAAAACATATTAGACAACTCAACTTGTCTACACATTCTGAGTGACACCACATTCTAGAGGCAATTACTGTTGATTTTTCATTGCTATCTTTAGAAGGAAGTGATTATTCACTAACAAAGAAGAGATATAACTCCTTAATGTCATTTCCTCAAGAGGTATTTTCAGCAATAAAGTGAAGTGACTATTTAGCAAATATTCAGTAAGTTCAGTCAGTGTAAACAGTCAACCTGGACTATTTAAGCAAATAAAAATTAGGGTTACATTAGCAGGTTGTCTACAATTCAAATTCACCTCATAATTGCTAACTTTCCATTTCATGTTCTGATGAGAAAACGGGGCTTAGTAGTTAGGTACATATGATCAATGGTCCCCTTCTTTACTTCCAAATCCAAGAAAGGCCCATCTAAATAGAGGAACTTCTCAAGTTTAATTCTTAACCCAGAAGACATCTACTATGCTTGGTTGTTTTCCTTTTCCTTTCTTCTTTTTAAAATACATTTACTGTATTCTGTTATCTTTCTAATTTTGAAGTGCCTAGATTTATATCAAGTGTTCTAGGGAAGCTGAAATAACAGAAATGCCTGTCTAAGCTATAGTAGGGGCAAGGAATAATGTGATGGTTGTAAGTTCTGGGAGAAAATATGCTGACAGGTATCAGGCGTTTAGACAACATAATTTTAGTGAATCTAGGTTCAGGTCTTTCCTCAATAGCATGCAGAAAAATGACACTTTAAGGTAGAGCCTTCCATCCTGTGTGCCTGGTACAAAGTGGCCAAAGGCATGTCAAGATCCCCTCACAATTCAGGTCAGACAGGAGGGATGTAGGGTAGCAAAACTCTGTTCATCTACCGCTGGATATAAGTAACCTTGTCTGTGATGCCTAGAGCACTGTACAAATAGTATACTTTCCTATAGCCACTTTAGGAATAGTGGAATAATAATAATTTGCCAGTAACTCTGCTTTATGGTTACTGTAAATCTTAAAGGACTGGTAAAACAAGTCTCAAAATTCATAACCTCTCTTCTAGTCTTCCCTTCCTGCTTTATATTTTCTCCTACATGGAGCTCACATTCTAGTAGGAGAGACAGACAATAAACTTCTGACATCCTATATACTTTTCTTACTTATCTTGATTACTGTTAGTCTCCCTTACTAGAATGTAAGCTCTGTGTGGGACCTTCATCTATTGCAGTTCACTGCTGTGTCCCTGGTACCCACAGCAATGTCCTGTACACAATGACAACTCACTGAATTAATGCATGAAGACTGAATGGGCATACTTAAAGGCACTTAGGGAGCACATTTGGAGGGGGCTGAAAGTACATAAGCCTTAGCAGCAGCACTTCTCCAAACACAGCCCCAGGTAGAACCAATCTAGCAAAGAGTGACCTGTCAGTCATGCACCAGCCAAAGCAAGCTGTGCCAACTTGTAAGAAGTCAGAAGATACCAGTGCTCTATACGCTTGTCTGTTTTCAAACATTTATATTTTCCTTTCCTCTCACCCTGACAGAATGCCCCCTCATACACAGTCAAAAATTAAATTGACTATTTTGGGGGAGCAGCACATCACAGAAGATCATTTCTAATTTTATCTAACTGCTACCACAATGTCTCTTTCAGCTTTATTGCTTCCATATTTCTATGTCCTATGAATATTTTTCCTTCAACTATTAATTTTCCTTTTAATTTCTTCACTACATTTTCTATCATCTTTCTGTGGCTCTGATTTCTGTGTAATATTTTGTGACCCTTATCAATGGCCCAGAGAACATAGGAAAGCCTAAATAAATAAGTTATTTGTTCCGTATAAACAGAAATAGAAACAGGAAAATGAGAGTATTTCTGCAAATGCCTTTTCAGTCCTATAGAATTAGAATAATCAATAATAGTTTTAAATTATAGCCTTAAATTCTAAAATGCCTAATGGGAGTATATAGTACCATGTGGAATTTTTCAGTGTCTTCCTTCTGATGAACTCAAAATGTCCCTCCAGAAAATACACAAATTGTCCTCATATTTATACAAGATAAGTGAGGCAGATATTTACTGTTGCCACTTTATAATAAATAATTAAAATATAGACTATAAAATAAATATAGATCCTATTAACTGATTACACCATTCTCTGAATAACAGTGTCCTTAACTGGCCAATTTTACAAGTAGAAAACACTATAAATAGAGTGAGAATTGGTCTTTAGAGGAGGTAAGATCATCATGGCTGACGGGAGGCAGGACTGGATTGCAGCTCTGGATACAGCAGCATGCAGAGGCTTGCATTGTGAATTCTAGCTCTAGATTGACTGCAAGAACAAACCAGCAATCCTGAGAGGATGCAGACATAAGCGGACTGCTCCTGCAGGACCTGGGAGACAGCCCAAATACTGAGTGCCCCAACTGCGGAAGCGGGAAAGGGAGAGCCTCCACTCCCAAACACACAGCCCCACTGGAGAAACTAAAGGTCTATTTGCTGGAGAAGTTTCCAACCTTACCTGGAGCTGGGTCAATCTGGAGAGCCGAGTGAAATACAGGGGTAGAGGAAGCAGCAGAAACGCGCTGGGAGCTTGCTGGGTCCCCTAGCAGGCCATTCCTGCCTGGCATCACAGGGATCCAACTGGAGGGCAGCCAGAGGAGCAGGGGATAAAATTCCACAGGGAGAAGGAAATCTCTAGCTGAACTTTCTAACAATTTGAAAAGGGCGAGAAGCCTCCTGGCCAGAACTCGGGGGAGGGTGCAAATCCGGTGTGCAGACTCCACAAGCGAGAACCAAGCCCTTTTACTTTTGCAGCTGGGAGGCGAGTAGCCTGGGGCAAGTTTTCAAGCATGTCTTGCCCTCCGCCTGGACACAGACTCAGGGCTGTTGTGGGGGGCATGGTGGGAGTGAGACCAGCCCTTCAGTATGTGTGGGAGCTGGGCGAGGCCTGTGACTGCCGGCTTTCCCCCACTTCCCTGACAACCTGCATGACTCTGCAGAGGCAGCCATAATCCCTCTAGGTACACAACTCCAGTGACCTGGAAATCTCACTCCCATACCCCACAGCAGCTACAGCAAGACTTGTCCAAGGAGAGTCTGAGCTCAGACATGCCTAACCCTGCCCCCATATGATGATCCTTCCCTAACCACCTTGGTAGCTGAAGGCAAAGGACATATAATCTTGGGCGTTCTAGGGCCCTGCCCACCGCTGGTCCCTCTGGATACTACTACAGCTGATGTTCTCTGGAAAGTGCCACTGCCTGGCAGGAGGCCAACCAGCACAAAAATAAAGCATTAAACCGCCAAACTAAGAACCCTGACAGAGTCCCCTGCACACCACAGCCACCTCCACTGGAACAGGCGTTGGTATCCACGCTGAGAATCCAACAGAAGCTCACATCACAGGACTCTGTACAGACACCCTAGTACCAGCCCAGAACGGGGTAGACTCGCTGGGTGGTTATACCCAGCAGAGAGACAACAATCACTGCAGTTTGGCTTACAGGAAACCACATCCATAAGAAAAGGGGGAGAGTACTACACCAAGGGAACACACTGTGGGACAAAAGAATCTAAATGACAGCCTTCAAGCCCTAGACCTTCCCTTGGACAGAGCCCACCCAAATGGGAAGGAACCAGAAAACCAACTCTGGTAATATGACAAAACAAGGCTCGTCAACACCCCCCCAAAAAATCACACTAGTTCACCAGCAATGGATCCAAACCAAGGATAAGTCCCTGATTTACCTGAAAAAGAATTCAGGAGGTTAGTTATTAAGCTAATCAGGGAGGCACCAGAGAAAGGCGAAGTCCAATGCAAGCAAATCCAAAAAATGATATAAGAAGTGAAGGGAGAAATATTCAGAAAATAGACAGCTTAAAGAAAGGACAATCGAAAATTCAGGAAACTTTGGGACACACTTTGAGAAATGTGAAATGCTCTGGAAAGTCTCAGCGATAGAATTGAACAAGTAGAAGACAGAAATTCAGAGCTCAAAGACAAGGTCTTCTAATTAACCCAATCCAACAAAGACAAAGAAAAAAGAATAAGAAAATATGAACAAAGCCTCTAAGAAGTCTGGGATTATGTTAAATGACCAAGCATGAGAATAATTGGTGTTCCTGAGGAAGAAGAGAATTCTAAAAGCTTGGAAAACATATTTGGGGGAATAATCCAGGAAAACTTACCCAGCCTTGTGAGAGACCTAGACATCCAAATACAAGATGCACAAAGAACACCTGGGAAATTCATCACAAAAAAGTTCTTCACCTAGGCACATTGTCCTCAGGTTATCCAAAGTTAAGATGAAGGAAAGAATCTTAAGAGCTGTAAGACAGAAGCACCAGGTAACCTATAAAGAAAAACCTATCAGATTAACAGCAGATTTCTCAGCAGAAACCCTACAAGCCAGAAGGGATAGGGGGCACTATCTTCAGTCTCCTCAAACAAAACAATTATCAGCCAAGAATTTTGTATCCAGTGAAACTAAGCATCACATATAAAAGATACAGTCTTTTTCAGACAAATGCTGACAGAATTCTCCATTACCAAGCTACCACTACAGGAACTGCTAAAAGGAGCTCTAAATCTTGAAACAAATCCTGGAAACACATCAAAACAGAACCTCTTTGAAGCTTAAATCACACAGGACCTAAAAAACAAAAATACAAGTTAAAAAGCAAAATCAAAAAACAAAAAAACCAACGTACACAAGCAACAAAGAGCAGGAGGAATGCAATGGTACCACACATTTCAATACTAACATTGAAAGTAAATGACCTAAATGCTCCACTTAAAAAATACAGAACCTCAGAATGGATAAGAACTCACCAACCAACTATCTGCTGCCTTCTGGAGACCCACCTAACACATAAGCACTCATATAAACTTAAGTAAAGGGGTAGAAAACAGCGTTTCATGCAAATGGACGCCAAAAGCAAGCAGAGGTAGCTATTCTTACATGAGACAAAACAAACTTTAAAGCAACAGCAGTTAAAAGAGACAAAGAGGGACATTATATAATGGTAAAAGGCCTTGTCCAACAGGAAAATATCACAATCCTAAACATACATGCATCTAACACTGGAGCTCCCAAATTTATAAAACAATTACTAATAGACCTAAGAAATGAGATAGACAGCAATATAAAAATAGTAGGGAACTTCAATACTCCACTGACAGCACTAGACAGGTCATCACGACAGAAAGTTACCAAAGAAACCATGGATTTAAACTATACCTTGGAACAAATGGACTTATCAGATATATACGGAACATTTCATCCAACAACTGCAGAATACACATTCTATTCAACAGTGCATGGAACTTTCTCTAAGATAGACCATATGATAGGCCATAAAACGAGCCTCAATAAATTTAAGAAAGAAATTATATCAAGCACTCTCTCAGACCACAGTGGAATAAAACTGAAAATCAACTCCAAAAGGAACCTTCAAAACCATGCAAATACATGGAAATTAAATAACCTGTTCCCGAATGAACATTGGGTCAAAAACAAAATCAAGATGGAAATTAAAAAATTCTTTGAACTGAACGACAATAATGACACAACTTAACCAAAATCTCTGGAATACAGCAAAGGCAGTGCTAGGAGGAAAGTTTATAGCCCTAAACACCTACCTCAAAAACACTGAAAGAGTAAAAACTGACATTCTAAGGTCATACCTCAAGGAACTAGAGAAATAAGAACAAATCAAACCCAACCCCAGCAGAAAAAAGGAAATAACCAAGATTAGAGCAGAACTAAATGAAACCAAAACAAAGGAAAACAATACAAAAAATAAATGAAACAAAAAGCTGATCATTTGAAAAGATAAATAAAATTGACAGACCATTGGCAAGATTAACCAAGAAAAGAAGAGAAAAAATCCAAATAACCTCACTAAGAAACAAAACAGGAGACATTACAACTGACACCACTGAAATACAAAAGATCATTCAAGGCTACTATGAACACCTTTATGCACATAAACTAGGAAACCTAGAAGAGACAGAAAAATTCCTGGAAAAATACAACCCTCCTAGCTTAAATCAGGAAGAATTAGATACCCTGAACAGACCAATAACAAGCAGCAGGATTGAAATGGTAATAAAAAATTACCAGTAAAGAAAGTCCAGGACCAGACAGACTTACAGCAGAATTCTAACAGACATTCAAAGAAGAATTTGTACCAATCCTTTTGACACTATTCCATAAGATAGAGAAAGAAGGAACCCTCCCTAATTCATTCTATGAAGCCAGCATCACCCCAATACCAAAACCAGGAAAAGGACATAACCAAAAAAGAAAACTACAGACCAATATTCTTGACGAACACAGATGCTAAAATCTTTAACAAAATACTAGCTAACCAATCCAATAACATATCAAAAAGAGAATCCACCATGATCACGTGGGTTTCATGCCAGGAATGCAGGGATGGTTTAACATATGCAAGTCAATAAATGTGATACACCACATAAACAGAATTAAAAACAAAAATCACATGATCATCTCAATAGATGCAGAAATAGCATTTGACAAAATCCAGCAAAACTTTATGATTAAAACTCTCAGCAAAATTGGCATACAAGGGACATACCTTAATGTAATAAAAGCCATATATGACACACCCACAGCCAACATAATACTGAATGGAGAAAAGTGGAAAGCATTCCCATAGAGAACTGGAACAAGACAAGGATGTCCACTCTCATGACTCCTCTTCAACATACACTGGAAGTTCCAGCCAGAGCAATCAGATAAGAGAAAGAAATAAAGGACATCCAAATCGGTAAAGAGGAAGTCAAACTGTCACTGTTTGCTAACAATACGAGTGTTTACCTTGAAAACCCTGAAAAGTTCTCCAGAAAGCTCCTAGAACTGATGAAAGAATTCAGCAAAGTTTCTGGATAAAAGATTAATGTACACAAATCGGTAGCTCTTCTATACACCAACAGCGACCAAGCGGAGAATCAAATCAAGAACTCAACCCCTTTTAAAATAGCTGCAAAAAACAAAACAAAACCACTTAGGAATATACCTAACCAAGGAGTCAGAAGACCTCTACAAGAAAAACTTCAAAACACCGCTGAAAGAAATCATACGTGACAGAAACCAATGAAAACACATCCCATGCTCATGGATGGACAGAATCAATATTGTGAAAGTTGACCACATGGCCAAAAGCAATCTACAAATTCAAAGCAATCTCCATCAAAATACCACCATCATTCTTCACAGAATTAGAAAAAACAATTCTAAAATTCATATGGAACCAAAAAAGAACCTGCATAGCCAAAGCAAGACTAAGCAAAAAGAACAAATGTGGAGGAATCACCCTACCTGATTTCAAACTATAGTATAAGGTTACAGTCACCAAAACAGTGTGGTACTAGTATAAAAATAGGCACATAGATCAATGGAACAGAATAGAGAACACAGAAATAAATTCAAATACTTACAGCCAACTGATCTTTGACAAAGCAAACAAAAACATAAAATGAGGAAAGGACATCCTTTTCAACAAATGGTGCTGGGATAATTGGCTAGCCACATGTAGGAGAATGAAACTGGATCCTCATCTGTCACCTTATACAAAAATCAACTTAAGATGGATTAAGGACTTAAACTTAAGACCTGATACTATAAAAATTCTAGAAGATAACATTGGAAAACCCCTTCTAGACACTGACTTAGACAAGGATTTCATGACCAAGAACCCAAAAGCGAATGCAATAAAAACAAAGATAGATACTGGGACTTAATTAAACTAAAGAGCTTTTGTACGGCAAAAGGAACAGTCAGCAGAGTAAACAGACAACCCACAGAGTGGGATAAAATCTTCACAATCTATACATCTGACAAAGGACTAATATCTAGAATCTACAATAAACACAAACAAATCAGTAAGGAAAAAACAATCCCGGGGGGTGGAGCCAAGATGGCCAAATAGGAACAGCTCCAGTCTGCAGCTCCCAGCATGAGCGACGCAGAAGACGGGTGATTTCTGCATTTCCAACTGAGATACTGGGTTCAGCTCACTGGGGAGTGTCAGAAAGTGGGTGCAGGACAGTGGGTGCAGCACACCGAGCGTGAGCCAAAGCAGGGTGAGGTATCCCCTCACCCGGGAAGCACAAGGGGTCAGGGAATTCCCTTTCCTAGTCAAAGAAAGGGGTGACAGACGGCACCTGGAAAATCGGGTCACTCTCACCCTAATACTGTGCTTTTCCAATGGTCTCAGCAAATAGCACACCAGGAGATTATATCCCGCACGTGGCTCAGAGGGTCCTACGCCCATGGAGCCTCGCTCATTGCTAGCACAGCAGTCTGAGATCAAACTGCAAGGCAGAAGCGAGGCTGGGGGAAGGGCGCCCACCATTGCCCAGGCTTGAGTAGGTAAACAAAGCAGCTGGGAAGCTCGAACTGGGTGGAGCCCACCTCAGCTCAAGGAGGCCTGCCTGCCTCTGTAGACTCCACCTCTGGGGGCAGGGCATTGCAAAACAAAAGGCAGCAGAATCCTCTGCAGACTTATATGTCCCTGTCTGACAGTTTCGAAGAGAGTAGTGGTTCTCCCAGCATGCAGCTGGAGATCTGAGAACAGACAGACTGCCTCCTCAAGTGGGTCCCTGAGCCCCGAGTAGCCTAACTGGGAGGCACCCCCGAGTAGGGGCAGACTGACACCTCACACGGCCAGGTACTCCTCTGAGACAAAACTTCCAGAGGAACGATCAGGCAGCAACATTTGCTGTTCACCAATATCTGCTGTTCTGCAGCCTCTGCTGCTGATACCCAGGCAGGGTCTGGAGTAGACCTCCAGCAAATTCCAACAGACCTGCAGATGAGGGTCCTTACTGTTAGAAGGAAAACTAACAAACAGAAAGGACATCCACACCAAAACCCCATCTGTACATCACCATCATCAAAGACCAAAGGTAGATAAAACCACAAAGATGGGGAAGAAACAGAGCAGAAAAACTGGAAACTCTAAAAATCAGAGTGCCTCTCCTCCTCAAAGGAATGCAGCTCCTCACCAGCAATGGAACAAAGCTAGATGGAGAATGACTTTGATGAGTTGAGAGAAGAAGGCTTCAGACGATCAAACTACTCTGAGCTAAAGGAGGAAGTTCGAATCCAAGGCAAAGAAGTTAAAAACCTTGAAAAAAAATTAGACGAATGGCTGACTAGAATAACCAATGCAGAGAAGTCCTTAAAGGACCTGATGGAGCTGAAAACCAAGGCATGAGAACTACGTGACGAATGCACAAGCCTCAGTAGTCAATTCGATCAACTGGAAGAAAGGGTATCAGTGATGGAAGATCAAATGAATGAAATGAAGCAAGAAGAGAAGTTTAGAGACAAAAGAGTAAAAAGAAATGAACAAAGCCTCCAAGAAATATGGGACTATGTGAAAAGACCAAATCTATGTCTGATTGGTGTACCTGAAAGTGATATGGAGAATGGAACGAAGTTGGAAAACACTCTGCGGGATATTATCCAAGAGAAATTCCCCAATCTAGCAAGGCAGGCCAACATTCAAATTCAGGAAATACAGAGAACGCCACAAAGATACTCCTGGAGAAGAGCAACTCCAAGACACATAATTGTCAGATTCACCAAAGTTGAAATGAAGGAAAAAATGTTAAGAGCAGCCAGAGAGAAAGGGTGGGTTACCCACAAAGGGAAGCCCATCAGACTAACAGCGGATCTCTTGGCAGAAACTCTACAAGCCAGAAGAGAGTGGGGGCCAATATTCAACATTCTTAAAGAAAAGAATTTTCAACCCAGAATTTCATATCCAGCCAAACTAAGCTTCATAAGTGAAGGAGAAATAAAATCCTTTACAGACAAGCAAATGCTGAGTGATTTTGTCACCAACTGCCCTAAAAGAGCTCCTGAAGGAAGCACTAAACATGGAAAGGAACAACCAGTACCAGCCACTGCAAAAACATGCCAAATTGTAAAGACCATCGAGACTAGGAAGAAACTGCATCAACTAACGAGCAAAATAACCAGCTAACATCATAATGACAGGATCAAATTCACACATAACAATATTAACCTTAAATGCAAATGGGCTAAATGCTCCAATTAAAAGACACAGACTGGCAAATTGGATAAAGAGTCAAGACCCATCAGTGTGCTGTATTCAGGAAACCCATCTCACATGCAGAGACACACATAGGTTCAAAATAAAGGGATGGAGGAAGATCTACCAAGCAAATGGAAAACAAAAAAAGGCAGGGGTTGCAATCCTAGTCTCTGATAAAACAGACTTTAAACCAACTAAGATCAAAAGAGACAAAGAAGGCCATTACATAATTGTAAAGGGATCAATTCAACAAGAAGCGCTAACTACCCTAAATATATATGCACCGAATACAGGAGCACCCAGATTCATAAAGCAAGTCCTTAGAGACCTACAAAGAGACTTAGACTCCCACACAATAATAATGGGAGACTTTAACACCCCACTGTCAACATTAGACAGATCAACGAGACAGAAAGTTAACAAGGATACCCAGGAATTGAACTCAGCTCTGCAACAAGCAGACCTAATAGACATTGACAGAACTCTCCACCCCAAATCAACAGAATATACATTTTTTTTCAGCACCGCAGCACACCTATTCCAAAATTCACCACACAGTTGGAAGTAAAGCTCTCATCAGCAAATGTAAAAGAACAGAAATTATAACAAACTGTCTCTCAGACCACAGTGCAATCAAACTAGAACTCAGGATTAGGAAACTCACTCAAAACTGCTCAACTACATGGAAACTGAACAACCTGCTCCTGAATGACTACTGGGTACATAACAAAATGAAGGCAGAAATAAAGATGTTCTTTGAAACCAAAGAGAACAAAGACACAACATGTCAGAATCTCTCGGACACATTCAAAGCAGTGTGTAGAGGGAAATTTATAGCAATAAATGCCCACAAGAGAAAGCAGGCAAGATCTAAAATTGACACCCTAATATCACAATTAAAAGAACTAGAGAAGCAAGAGCAAACACATCCAAGAACTAACAGAAGGCAAGAAATAACTAAAATCAGAGCAGAACTGAAGTAAATAGAGACACAAAAAACCCTTCAAAAAATTAATGAATCCAGGAGCTGGTTTTTTGAAAAGATCAACAAAATTGATTGACCGCTAGCAAGACTAACAAAGAAGGAAAGAGAGAAGAATCAAATAGACGCAATAAAAAATGATAAAGGGGATATCACCACCAATCCCACAGAAATACAAACTACCATCAGAGAATACTATAAACACCTCTATGCAAATAAACTAGAAAATCTAGAAGAAATGGATAAATTCTTTGACACATACACCCTCCCAAGAATAAACCAGGAAGAAGTTGAATCTCTGAATAGACCAATAATAGGTCCTGAAATTGAGGCAGTAATAGCCTACCAACCAAAAAAAGTCCAGGACCAGACAGATTCACAGCCGAACTCTACAAGAGGTACAAACAGGAGCTGATACCATTCCTTCTGAAACTATTCCTATCAATAGAAAAAGAGGGAATCCTCCCTAACTCATTTTATGAGGCCAGCATCATCCTGATACCAAAGCCTGGCAGAGACACAACAAAAAAAGAGAATTTTAGACCAATACCCTGATGAACATCGATGCAAAAATCCTCAATAAAATACTGGCAAAATGAATCCAGCAGCACATCAAAAAGCTTATCCAGCATGATCAAGTGGGCTTCATTCCTGGGATGCAAGGCTGGTTCAACATACGTAAATCAATAAACATAATCCAGCACATACACAGAACCAACAACAAAAACCATGTGATTATTTCAATAGATGCAGAAAAGACCTTTGACAAAATTCAACAACCCTTCATGCTAAAAACTCTCAATAAATTAGGTATTGATGGGACGTATCTTAAAATAATAAGAGCTATATATGACAAACGCACAGCCAATATCATACTGAATGGGCAAAAACTGGAAGCATTCCCTTGCAAAACTGGCGTAAGACAGGGATGCCCTCTCTCACCACTCCTATTCAACATAGTGTTGGAAGTTCTGGCCAGGGCAATTAGGCAGGAGAAGGAAATAAAGGGTATTCAATTAGGAAAAGAGGAAGTCAAATTGTCCCTGTTTGCAGACGACGTGATTGTATATCTAGAAAACCCCATTGTCTCAGCCCAAAATCTCCTTAAGCTGATAGGCAACTTCAGCAAAGTCTCAGGATAGAAAATCAATGTGCAAAAATCACAAACATTCTTATACACCAATAACAGACAAACAGAGAGCCAAATCATGAGTGAACTCCCATTCACAATTGCTTCAAAGAGAATAAAATACCTAGGAATCCAACTTGCAAGGGACGTGAAGGACCTCTTCAAGGAGAACTACAAACCACTGCTCAATGAAATGAAAGAGGATACAAACAAATGGAAGAACATTCCATGCTCATGGGTAGGAAGAATCAACATCATGAAAATGGCCATACAGCCCAAGGTAATTTATAGATTCAATGCCATCCCCATCAAGCTACCAATGACTAGAATTGGAAAAAACTACTTTAAAGTTCATATGGAACCAAAAAAGAGCCCACATTGCCAAGTCAATCCTACGCCAAAAGAACAAAGCTGGAGACATCACACTACCTGACTTCAAACTATACTACAAGGCTATGGTAACCAAAACAGCATGGTACTGGTACCAAAACAGAGATATAGACCAATGGAACACAACAGAGCCCTATGAAATAATGCTGCATATCTACAACCATCTGATCTTTGACAAACCTGAGAAAAACAAGCAATGGGGAAAGGATTCCCTATTTAATTAATGGTGCTGGGAAAACTGGCTAGCCATATGTAGAAAGCTGAAATTGGATCCATTCCTTACACCTTATACAAAAATTAATTCAAGATGCATTAAAGACTTAAATGTTAGACTCAAAACCATAAAAATCCTAGAAGAAAACCTAGGCAATACCATTCAGGACATAGGCATGGGCAAGGACTTCATGTCTAAAACACCAAAAGCAATGGCAACAAAAGCCAAAATCGACAAATGGGATCTAATTAAACTAAAGAGCTTCTGCACAGCAAAAGAAACTACCATCAGAGTCAACAGGCAACCTACAAAATGGAAGAAAAGTTTTGCAATCCACTCATCTGACAAAGGGTTAATATCCAGAATCTACAATGAACTCCAACAAATTTACAAGAAAAAAACAAACAACCCCATCAATAAGTGGGTGAAGGATATGAACAGGAACTTCTCAAAAGAAGACATTTATGCAGCCAAAAGACACATGAAAAAATGCTCATCATCACTGGCCATCAGAGAAATGCAAATCAAAACCACAATGAGATACCATCTTACACCAGTTAGAATGGCAATCATTAAAAAGTCAGGAAACAACAGGTGCTGGAGAGGATGTGGAGAAATAGGAACACTTTTACACTGTTGGTGGGACTGTAAACTAGTTTAACCATTGTGGAAGTCAGTGTGGCAATTCCTCAGGGATCTAGAACTAGAAATACCATTTGACCCAGCCATCTCATTACTGGGGATATACCCAAAGGATTATAAATCATGCTGCTATAAAGACACATGCACGTGTATGTTTACTGCAGCACTATTCACAATAGCAAAGACTTGGAACCAACCCAAATGTCCAACAATGATAGACTGGATTAAGAAAATGTGGCACATATACACCATGGAATACCATGCAGCCATAAAACAGGATGAGTTCATGTCCTCTGTAGGGACATGGATGACGATGGAAACCATTATTCTCAGCAAACTCTCGCAAGGACAAAAAACCAAACACCGCATGTTCTCACTCATAGGTGGGCATTGAACAATGAGAACACATGGACACAGGAAGGGGAACATCACACACCGGGGCCTGTTGTGGGTTGGGGGGAGGGGGGAGGGATAGCATTTGGAGATATATCTAATGTTAAATGACGAGTTACTGGGTGCAGCACACCAACATGGCACATGTATACACATGTAACTAACCTGCACGTTGTGCACATGTACCTTAAAACTTAAAGTATAATAAAGAAAAAATCCCATCAACAAGGGGGCTAAGGATATGAATAGACAATTCTCAAAAGAAGATATACAAATGGCCAACAAACATATGAGAAAATGCTCAATATCACTAATTATCAGGGAAATGCAAATCAAAACCACAATGTGGTATCACCTTACTCCTGCAAGAACGGCCATGATACAAAAATTAAAAAACAGTAGGTGTTGGTGTGGATGTGGTGATGAGGGAGCACTTCTACACTGCTGGTGGGAATGTACAGCCACTATGGAAAACAATGTGGAGATTCCTTAAAGAACTAAAAGTAGAACTACCATTTGATCCAGGAATCCCACTCCTGGGTATCTACCCAGAGGAAAAGAAGTCATTATATGAAAAAGATACTTGCACACACGTTTAAGTAGCACAACTGACAATTGCAAAATCGTGGAACCAACCCAAATGCCCATAAATTAACGAGTTAAGAAACTGTGGTGTGTATATATATACATACAATGGAATACTACTCAGCCATAAAAAGGAATGAATTAGGCCGGGCACGTTGGCTCACGTCTGTAATCCCAGGACTTTGGGAGGCCGAGATGGGTGGATCACGAGGTCAGGAGATGGAGACCATCCTGGCTAACACGGCAAAACCCCGTCTCTACTAAAAATACAAAAAATTAGCTGAGCGTGGTGGCGGGCACCTGTAGTCCCAGCTACTCGGGAGGCTGAGGCAGGAGAATGGCCTGAACTCGGGAGGCGGAGCTTGCAGTGAGCCAAGATCACGCCATTGCACTCCAGCCTGGGCAACAGAGCTAGACTCCATCTCAAAAAAAAAAAAAAAAAAAAAAAAAAAAAAGGAATGAATTAACAGCATTTGCACCAACCTGGATGAGATTGGAGACTATTATTCCAAGTGAAGTAACTCAGGAATGGAAAACCAAGTATCATATGTTCTCACTGATATGTGGGAGCTAAGGTATGAGGACGTAATAGCATAAGAATGATATAATGGACTTTGGGGACTTGGGGGGGAAGAGTGGGAGTGGTGCAAGGGATAAAATACTACAAATATGGTGCAGTGTATACTGCTCAGGTGATGGGTGCACCAAAACCTCACTAATCACCACTAAAGAACTTACTCATGTAACCAAATACTACCTGTACCCCAATAACCTATGGGAAAAAAAAACAGAATTGGTCTTTAGAAGCCAACAACAACAAAAAGAAAACACTCTAAATAAAAGGAAGTGGGAAACCAGTCACCTGACATAGATGCAAGACCCCTCAAATATCCACTATATATATATATATATGTATATAAAAGTATACGCTATATATAGTGTATATACATACATATATATACACTATATATAGCGTATACATTTATACACTATATATACATATATACTATGTGTGTGTGTGTGTATATATATGTATTTAGTGGATGGTGGAGATATATCTGGAATGCAGTGGTAAGATCACAGCTCACTGCAGCCTTAAACTCCTGGGTTTAGGCAATCCTCCCACCTCAGCCACCCAAGTAGCGAGGACTACAGGCTCACGCCACCATGCCTGGCTAATTAAAAACATTTATTTAGTGGAGATGAGGTCTTGCTATGTCATCCAGGCTGGTCTCAAACTCCTGGCCTCAAATGATCCTTGAGCTTTGGCCTCCCAAAATGCTGAGAGTACAGGTATGAGCCACTATGCTTGGCCCTCCCTACATGTTAATAATGAACAACAAGGCCATCTTGGGCACCAGTGTGAGACCATGTCTCTGCTAAAATAAAACTAAAAAAAAAGGAAAAACAAAAACAATATAACTATGCTAAATATACAGTGATATTTTAAGTTAAAATTTTAAATTTTATATCTGCTTTTAAATTATATATAAACGGGTAAGTAACATTCATAAAATGAAATTATTATGAACAACACATACTTTTTTTGTAATGGGAAGCAAATCTAGTTATAAAGGAAAAACTACAGTATTAAATAAGCGTGTATGTTTATAGGCAATTTCACTGCTATCACTGTGAAACTTTTAGTCAAAAGATCAAAGCACATTATAACAAGAAAAACAACTTTACAATTTAGCAAGCTGGAAAAAACACTTCATTAAATTGAATATACAGCCTGAAGATCCATTACTAATTTGTGGTCAGTACACATGTTGAAATCTTCAAATAATATTAACATTTTAAATTACATATAACAGAAATTATTGATCAGAGAAATTCCGGCGTTTCAAAGGTACTTCATCAACCTTTGGTTGTTTCTATTTGAATTTCCTGCCATCACCTCAATCAATGAATGTTGAACAATTAATCTTTTTCAACATTTTTTATGGACTCTGAGGGAAAGCATTAAGTCAGGCTGAAGAAGTGGTAAGTTTTTATAAGTAGGTATAGGAAATGCTGGGGGTGCTGGTCCTAACTCTCTTCTTATTTGATGCAACCTAATGTTGATGCCAGCTTCTAAAGGAAGAACCTTTTCACTAGCACAGGCCCAGAAAGCAATTCATTCTTTTTTAAAATTATGGAGAACAAGATGGTCATGATGAGCTCTTGTTCACTGCTATGTCTCCAGCTTCCAGAACAGTGCCTGGAACACAGTAAATGTCAATAAATACTTTAGTGATAAATGGATATGTGCTGGGGAATGTATGTACAATTTCCTTCTGATTTAGGCCAAATTTGTTAGAACAAAATCCCACAGGGAATGAAAAGTTACACTCAGTAGCAAGTTCTGTCTTAAGGAAAGAAATGGTCAGAGGAGAGCTGAATAATAAAAGTAACTTAGTATAAGATCAAGTATGATAAAGTAATTTAATATCTTCTTTCTGATAAATTATACAGCAAAGTCTAATCAGTTAGTAGGGGAGCAAGGGTAGGAACAAATTGTCTTCAATGAGCATTTTAGTGCATCTTTAGAAATAGATGCTCTTAAACCCGAAGGTATCAGGGCTAAGATGAGCCTTACAAGGCTTTAGTCTCAATAAAAGGTTAAGGTTGTTTTTACTCAGGCTGTGCAACCACCTGCTGTGCAACCACCTGAGTTGAAGTTTAAGCCTGGACAAAATTCAACAACCCTTCATGCTAAAAACTCTCAATAAATTAGGTATTGATGGGACGTATCTCAAAATAATAAGAGCTATCTATGACAAACCCACAGCCAATATCATACTGAATGGGAAAAAACTGGAAGCATTCCCTTTGAAAACTGGCACAAGACAGGGATGCCCCCTCTCACCACTCCTATTCAACATAGTGTTGGAAGTTCTGGCCAGGGCAATTAGGCAGGAGAAGGAAATAAAGGGTATTCAATTAGGAAAAGAGGAAGTCAAACTGTCCCTGTTTGCAGATGACATGATTGTATATCTAGAAAACCCCATTGTCTCAGCCCAAAATCTCCTTAAGCTGATAAGCAACTTCAGCAAAGTCTCAGGATACAAAATCAATGTACAAAAATCTCAAGCATTCTTATACACCAATAACAGACACAGAGCCAAATCATGAGTGAACTCCCATTCACAATTGCTTCAAAGAGAATAAAATACCTAGGAATCCAACTTACAAGGGACGTGAAGGACCTCTTCAAGGAGAACTACAAAACACTGCTCAATGAAATAAAAGAGGATACAAACAAATGGAAGAACATTCCATGCTCATGGGTAGGAAGAATCAATATCATGAAAGTGGCCATACTGCCCAAGGTAATTTATAGATTCAATGCCATCCCCATCAAGCTACCAATGACTTTCTTCACAGAATTGGAAAAAACTACTTTAAAGTTCATATGGAACCAAAAAAGAGCCCACATCGCCAAGTTAATCCTAAGCCAAAAAAAACAAAGCTGGAGGCATCACACTACCTGACTTCAAACTATACTACAAGGCTACACTAACCAAAACAGCATGGTACTGGTATCAAAACAGAGAAACAGATCAATGAAACAGAACAGAGCCCTCAGAAATAACGCCGCATATCTACAACTATCTGATCTTTGACAAACCTGAGAAAAACAAGCAATGGGGAAAGGATTCCCTATTTAATAAATGGTGCTGGGAAAACTGGCTAGCCATATGTAGAAAGCTGAAACTGGATCCCTTCCTTACACCTTATACAAAAATTAAGTCAAGATGGATTAAAGACTTAAACGTTAGACCTAAAACCATAAAAACCCTAGAAGAAAACCTAGGCAATACCATTCAGGACATAGGCATGGGCAAGGACTTCATGTCTAAAACACCAAAAGCAATGGCAACAAAAGCCAAAATTGACAAATGGGATCTAATTAAACTAAAGAGCTTCTGCACAGCAAAAGAAACTACCATCAGAGTGAACAGGCAACCTACAAAATGGGAGAAAATTTTCGCAACCTACTCATCTGACAAAGGGCTAATATCCAGAATCTATAATGAACTCAAACAAACTTACAAGAGAAAAACAGACACACCCATCAAAAAGTGGGCAAAGGATATGAACAGACACTTCTCAAAAGAAGACATTTATGCAGCCAAAAAACACATGAAAAAATGCTCACCATCACTGGCCATCAGAGAAATGCAAATGAAAACCACAATGGGATACCATCTCATACCAGTTAGAATGGCAATCATTAAAAAGTCAGGAAACAACAGGTGCTGGAGAGGATGTGGAGAAATAGGAACACTTTTACACTGTTGTTGGGACTGTAAACTAGTTCAACCTTTGTGGAAGTCAGTGTGGTGATTCCTCAGGGATCTAGAGCTAGAAATACCATTTGACCCAGCCATCCCATTACTGGGTATATACCAAAAGGACTATAAATCATGCTGCTATAAAGACACATGCACACGTATGTTTACTGTGGCACTATTCACAATAGCAAAGACTTGGAACCAACCCAAATGTCCAACAATGATAGACTGGATTAAGAAAATGTGGCACAAATACACCATGGAATACTATGCAGCCGTAAAAAATGATGAGTTCATGTCCTTTGTAGGGACATGGATGAAATTGGAAATCATCATTCTCAGTAAACTATCGCAAGAACAAAAAACCAAACACTGCATGTTCTCACTCATAGGTGGGAATTGAACAATGAGAACACATGGACACAGGAAGGGGAACAACACACTCTGGGGACTGTTGTGGGGTGGGTGGAGCGGGGAGGGATAGCTTTAGGAGATATACCTAATGCTAAATGACGAGTTAATGGGTGCAGCACACCAGCATGGCACATGTATACATATGTAACTAATCTGCACATTGTGCACATGTACCCTAAAACTTAAAGTATAATAATAATAAAATAAAAAAATTTAAAAAAAAAGAAGTTTAAGCCTGTTGCATTAATTATCTACTGCTGTGGAACAAATAACCCCAAAATTTGGCAGCTTAAAACAATATACATTTATCATCTCACAGTTTTTGTGGGTCAGAAATCTGAACACAGCTGAGTGATATTAGCTCAGGGTTTCTCACAAGACTACAATCAAGGTGTTGGCTGGGGTTGCAGTCATCTCAAAGAGCTCAACTGGGGGAGAATCTTCTTCCAAGGTCACTCACATGGCTGTTGGTGGACCTCAGGTCCTCCCTGGCTTTTGGCCTGATATACCAGTTCCTTGCCATGTGGGCCTCTCCACAGGGCAGCTTACAACCTGGCAGCTGGTTTCCATCACAGTGAGCAAGCTAGAGGACAAGAGAGAGCCTGAGGTCTGCCATCATTCACTGCTCTTACCACGTTCCCCATTATCCTTAAGCAGCAGGCTTGACAGAATGCTGGAATGACCTTTTGAAGACTCAGCTGTGACTGCTAGGTGACAACACCTTGTGTGGCTGGACAATATCCTGCAAATATGGACTTTTCTCTAAATCAGCATTTAATATATGTTGCTATTTACCCCAATTCTGGGAATAAAGGCATAGATATGGGACTGCCTTCTTTTCCCTCTAACTTTAGTGATCCACTAGTAGAGGTCTTGCTTCCCATGCCCATTACTTCAGACTCTGCTGGTCTAAAGGTCTTAGTTCCAAAAAGGAGATATGTTTCCATTAGGTGACATAATAATAATTCCTTTGAACTGGAAGTTGAGACTGCAATGTTGCCACTTTGGTCTCCTTATGCCACTGAATCAACAGGACATGGATGTACTGGATGGGAGCACTATACTGGATGGGTGATAAATCCTGATTTCCAAAGGAAAACGTAGTTGCTACTACACAATGGGTAATAAGTAGTATCTCTGCAATGCAGGAAATGCTCCAGAGTACCTGTAAGTAGTTTCTGTAACTAAAGGCAATAGCATACTATGATCACCTAATTCAGGCAGGACGCTAATGGCCCAAACTCTTCGAGAATGAAAGTGTGGATCATTTCACCAGGCAAAGAGTCTTGACCAACTATAGTGCTTGCTGAGAACAAAGCACACCTCATTTTATTGTGCTTCAGTTTACTGCACTTCACAGATACTGATTTTTTTTTAACCAATTCAAGTTTTCTGGCAACACTGCATCAAGCAAGTCTATAGGAGCCATTTTTCCAACAGCATGTGCTCACTTTGTGTCTCCCTGTGCTAATAAACTTTTCCATGATTACCATATGTTATGGTAATCTGTGATTAGAGATGGGGTCTTGTTCTGTCTTCTAAGTTGGGGTACAGTAGTACAATCATAGCTCACTGGCTCACTGTAGCTTTGAACTCTTAGGCCCACGTGATCCTCTTGCCTCAGCCTCCTGAATAGCTGGGACTGTAGGTGTGCACCACCATACTTGGCTAATATTAAAAAATTTTTTTTGGAGAGACAGACAAGGTCTTGCTTTGTAGCCTGGGCTGGTATCAAACTCCTGGCTCTGAACAATCCTCTTACCTTGGCCTCCCAAAGTACTGGAATTACAGGTATGAGCCACCATACTCGGCCTTGATCAGTCATCTTGAATGTTACTACTGTAATTGTTTTGAGGTGCCACAAACTGTACCCATAGAAGACGGTGAACTTAATTGATAAAGGTGTTCTGACTGCACCACCAACTGAGCAGTTCTCCTGTCCCTATCCCTCTCCTGGGGCCTCCCTGTTCCTTGAAACACAGTAATATTGAAATGAGGCCAATGACTAACTCTCCAACGGCCTTCAAGAATTCAGATGAAAGGAAGAGTTGCATATCTCTCACTTTAAATCAAAAGCTAAAAATGATTCCGCTTAGGATGACATGCGTGTCAAAAGCCAAGATGGGCTGAAATTTAGGCTTCTTGCACTAAACAGTTAGCCAAGTAGTGAATGCAAAGGAAAAATTCTTGAGGAAATTAAAAGTGCTACTCATGGGCAGAATGGTGAAAAATTTGAGTCATCCATTCTTAATTAAGGTTGAACAAGGTCATGTTCTGCCTTCTTGTTTCAGTTCTTACATTGTAAACAAGTATCCTTTTTATAGACTATTTAGTGCCACATTTTTCTAGTTTTGTGCCTTTTTTTTGGTTTCACTGTTTACAATAGCCCCCAAATGTAGTGCTGAAGTGCTGTGAAGTGTTGCTAAGCACAAGAAGGCTGTGATATGCCTTATGGAGAAAATATGTGTTAGCTTCATTCAGGCCTGAGTTACAGTGCTGCTGGCCATGAGCTCAATGTTAATGAATCAACAATATATATTAAATAAGGTGTCATTAAACAGAAACACACATAAACCAAGTTTACATATTGATTGGCTGACAAAAATGTGACCAGAAGCTCACAGGAACCTGGCCTTGTATTTCATCTAGGAGCAATGATTATTTGCTAATTCAGTGTTTTCAGTGACTTCACATTATATAACTAGCATAAATAATGAAAATCAATTGTATAATATTTAGGAACACACACATATATACATATGTGCATGAGTATATGTGTGTATATGTCTGTCTCTGTGTGTGTGTATAGTAGCATATACATCTTCTAGTGGTTCTGTCTCTGTGGTTGAACCCTGGCTTATAGACTTATAAAATTCAGCTGTAATGATAGTGAAGCTCAGTTGAAGTTTAGGTATTAATGACAGTGACGTTTAATTATAACAATAGTTCTATACCTAGAATCTGAACTATTCTCCAAATTATTTTCTTCAAATATGTACACATATTTTCAACTTTAAGTACTCAGTGATTAGCTATCACTTGTGATTGTTAACATAAAGTAGTTTGTGTTCCAAACTTTTACCCATTCTCCAGCACCCATGGCCACAGCAAACCCATTTCTGCTATCAGTTATAACGAGATGCCACTGCTCACTTGGCTGAGAACTGTGAAAGTCAAAACCAGAAAGCTAACAAATGTCACTCTCTCTTCTTACCTAGTGACTCAAATACAAAGCCTTTAGGCTGGAAATCAGTGCTATCCTTAAACTTCCTAGAGCCCAACTGCTCCTAACCTGCTCATCTCTTCACCTCTTCCCTTTCAATAGGCAGTCCAGTCTTGCCTTTGTTCCCTGTGAACATCTTCAGATCCATTCCTGCTGTTGCTCCTTAAATTGCTCTGTCTCCTTTGCACAGGATGCCATCTTGCATGTTTTCCCACAGTCCAGAGTCTATCTAACACAAGAACCAACTAAAATCTTTGCATGAAGTATTTTTTTCTAAGGTCTCTAGGACACACAACATCCTTGACTGCCTGTCATATCATTGAGTTGGAACTCAGAGACACATATCCTATGAAAGATCTTGTATGTCTGCCCAATCCTTGTTGTTTAGGTATTCATATATGTATGTCTTATCTCTCTAAGCTTCAACAGCAGTTGTCTATACTACTCTTGAATTGTTTCACCTATTCATCTTACTGAGTTTGTTGGTAAGCATTTTAAGCTACTTAACAAATATGTGATAGTGGATTCTACCCATGCATAACATTACCAATAATTCATCTAACAACTCAAAGATAAAAACAAACTAATTCACAAAACAGAATTCTACATTTCATTAGCATATTTTTCACCCTGAAAAACAACAGCAATCATATATCTCTCATCAAACACATACCTGCTGAGACCCGGGGGCAATCAGGTAGCATGGACTCCACTGATGTGTCTAATGGTTCTGAGCTAGAGACCCAATTACAACAGTTCTGCAATGTAATAGAGACAATATTGTTGAAATACAATTTAAGCCAAGATGGAATTTTTAGGGAGAGTTTAATTTATCCTATAAAATCAACCACTAGAGTGTATTCAATTTATTTTCCATACACTTAACATTTTTTTCTTATGTAAACAGTCGGTAATTATTCATAATTAACATGACTCTGAAAAAGGTCCTTTTGTTTGTTCGTTTTACTATTCAACAAATCATCTGTGCTGATATTAAGATGACATGTAAGGGCAGGGCGCGGTAGCTCGCACCTGAAATCCCAGCACTTTGGGAGGCCGAGGTGGGCAGATCACTTGAGGTCAGGAGTTCGAGACCAGCGTGGCCAACATGGTGAAACTCCTTCTCTACTAAAAATACAAAAATTAGCCTGGCGTGGTGGTGCATGCCTGTAGTCCCAGTTACTTGGGAGGCTGAGGCAGAAGAATGGCTTGAACCCAGGAGGCAGAGGTTGCAGTGAGCTGAGAGCGTGCCATTGCACTCCAGCCTGGGTGACAGAGGGAGACCCCGTCTCAAAAAATAAATAAATAAAATAGATGACATGTAACCTTCCATGAACCATGATGCAATATATTTCCAAGTGAAGTTTAGATGGCCAAGCAGTAAACAAATAAAGGTACTATAATTAAGGGAAAATAAAAAAGTATCCATTTTTGACTTTCAGATTAAAATAAATATTAATGTGAATATTCAAGAAAGAATAGCCAATTTTTAAACTATATTCTTTGTGTAATACCACAAGAAATGAATTTTGTATTTACTCCTCAAAATCTGACCCATATAAAAATACTATTTTTAAATTTTTACTTTGACCTGCTTTAATGAAGGCTGTATCAAAATAGTTGTAAAGAACATGGACACAGGAAGGGGAACATCACACTCTGGGGACTGTTGTGGGGTGGGGGGAGGGGGCAGGGATAGCATTGGGAGATATACCTAATGCTAGATGATGAGTTAGTGGGTGCGGCACACCAGCATGTCACATGTATACATATGTAACTAACCTGCACATTGTGCACATGTACCCTAAAACTTAAAGTATAATAATAATAAAAAAAAATCACCATCTGGTGAGTTGTAGCTGTGTGTATATGGACACAAAGCCTCCAATATTAAAAAATAGGTAATTTTTAATAGTAACGATGTAAGGTAACGATTTACAATTCAGATAAATAAAATAATCTATATTCCTTTTATACATTTTAAGTCTGTATTTGAAGTCTGGCTAAAAATATGTGATTATCATCATATGGTTTCTAAAAAATGTCTCAACACACACACACATACACACTCTCACACACACAATGAATTTCCAGACAGATTTTTTTTTTTTAAAGAAATCATCCCATCAATCATTTTGCCAAAATCGCTGATTGCTATTCTGGTAAACAAGCATGTATTGTGTATTTTTAGATGCTTGCTTCCCTGGTTGTGCACCATGGAATCCGTCCTCACTGTGGAAAGATCCTTGACTGGTAGATCAAGTGTCTTATTGTATTTCCTTAATTCATTCTGTCTGGAAGAAGATGTCAGCTGTGTTGCAGTGAGGAGAGAATTTCAAAGGCCCCAGTCCTCACCAATAAAGGCCGAGGAATGGCTTTTGAATAGATTTGTCAAGGCAACCCTACTGTTCTGGGACCAGGGAGAGCAGGAATAACATAAAGGAAGGGTTGCTGTATGAGATTAGAAAGTGAAGTTCACAAAGCATGGCAGATTTTTGTAAGAAACAGTAGATCAATGAAACTATTGAACTGTGTAGGAAAAAAAACATGAAAACAAACATAACATCTAGTAATGTTCTTAAATACTTTCTCTCTTTTTACATTTAAAATGGATAAAATATTAGTATTTTTCATGCATTACAAAAGCTTGATGGTTTAAAATGGATACATATTCTATAATGTGCTCTCCTAATCTTAATTAGCAGTTGAATGCAAAATTACACAATGTAAGAGTAGAAACTATAAAAGAAATAGGGTTTTAGAAGATATTTCATACATTTGAAATAAGTAAAATTAATATTACCATTGATAGAATACCACATCAGAGAGTTCTAGATAATGCAGAAGATTAGCACACAATTAGCCAGCTTTTATATACAATGTGACACTTGCTTGTAAGAAATAAGTATTCTCCAAAGCAGTGTCAAGATATGTAAATGGATGATTTGTTTTATCATTCATCACAGCCCCTAATAAATTCAAAAATCATGACTTCTATAGGTACTAAAAATAGGCTCCCAATGATACAGGGAGATAGCTTCAATGAAGAATGACTTTCTCTTTCTCTCTCTTTTTTTTAAACAATTCAGTCTTTTCAATGACAGCAATTAGCACTACCGACAGACAGGCAGCGATTAGGTACTGTATGTATTTTAATTATTATTCATCCAACTAGTACCTCCAAATCTGATGAAAGTCAGCTATTAACCAGGTGATATGTCGGTCTTCCTACTGCTCACCTACACTTCACATATGTAAAACTATGTCTTATAGGATTTTCTAGTATTAATATAAGTGATGGCACATTACAGTATGCAGAGGATTAATCATTTTCTAAATTGTTACTTTAAAAAGCTGAACAAAATGAACTTTTGTCCAGTTTGCTCAGCTCACCTTTAACTCAAACACTTAAAGCAAAATATAAGTTAACATTTTATGTTTGTAAAATTTCAGTTTTTATCTAGCCACATGTTTAAGGCTTTGATCTCTCATAAAAACTGGACAGAAGTTTAACATCCTATAATTAAAGTGAGTATGTCCAAAAGTTCTCTGCAATGACCAAGTACCTGTGCAGAACTATACAGATTTGATATGGTCATTTCAGAGTGTGTGTGTGTGTGTGTGTGTGTGTGTGTGTGTGCGCGCGCGCGCGCACGTGCAGGGGCATGTGGCATTTTTACCCCAAAAAGTATATAGAAAAAAGGGCAAAACAAGTTAAATGTTTGCTATATGATAGAGCATAATGAAATAAAATAAACATATGCAAAGAAAGACATACAGCTATTATATCTAAATTCAATCTGTCTGAAATGTTATTTTATCAAATCTAACTCCCTATTCTGAAATGTGTTACTATAGTTTAGAAGTCAAGTGTCTTTTGGTGCTTTTCTAATACTTACGTGTCCCTTTTTTCAAGGCCCCCGTTTGTCCCCATCCCAATTTTTAGTTGAGATGAACACTACCAAAGTGTTCCGAGTAGTGATGCAGGCAGCCCACTAGGAAAGCCCTATCTAAATTCAAAACATGCTGGACAGGGTTAGCAGCCCCTGAGATTTATTCTCAGGTCCCCTGAATAGGCAACAAGGTATGTTGAACTCAAGGTACCAATAGTGCCATGCTTGAGTCTCAGATGCAGCCTCCCCTAGTCCCAACAAACAAGCATAGAGAAAGAAGTCCTTGGCCAGGGCGGGCAGATAGGGACAGATCGCATGACTAATGTTTCTCTGGGTCTGAAGGAAAAAGAGAAAAATAGGTAATGTAGAAAGTATTTCTTAAAGCTAAGTGTTTTCAGTTTAAACATTTTTTTACCCTAAAATGATGATCCTATAGATTTTTGTGGTTGTAAATTTTCCTTTTTGTAACATCCAAAATTTGGGGAGCTATTGATATGGATTAGAAATGCCTACAGGCCCCAGTGCTGAGTGATTCCCTTTGACATTTGAACCAAGGGTCAACAATATTTCAGAGTAGGTTTGAAATAACTTTTTTTAAATAAAAACATTACAATTTAGTATATTATATTTAAAGAGAAAAGCAGGTAGTAGCTATTCCTGTGCAAGGTGTCTGGAGGTATTTGGAGATGCTTACTACCTTGGTTGAGGCTTGATTTTTATTCATTTTTATTGCATTTGTCTGAGTTGTAAATCGCCATTGCTTTAAAGGCTGATTTTTAATGTGAAAGGTTTTGTGTCCTCGGACAAATACAACTATGGTTCACTAGGTCAAGTTTCTAAAGCCCTACACTCAGAGTTGAATGGTGATAGGAAGGGTTCACAACTATTATGTAGAGCCGCACATCTGGTGTGGCTGGAGAATTTCAGAGGCCAGGGGTATGTTGGGAAACATTTGCCCACTCAGCCTAGACAGTCCTGGGGTTTGAAGTAAGAAGTAATTCAGGAGCTGCCTTCATTTACCTTTTACCTCTCTCTCCTCAAGAGGCTGGCTTAGCATCTATGCGTGGTCTTTTAGTTCAGGATAGGTTTCACTTGGAGTAATTGCTCAAAGTATACTACTCTTTGACCTTTCTTTCTCTTTCTCTCTTTCTCCCATCTCCTCCCCTCCCCTCCCCTCCCTCTCTTTCTCTCTTTCTTTCTTTTGGAGCTTCTGCTCTGTTGGCCAGGCAGGAGTGTAATGGCATGATCTCAGCTCACTGCAACCTCCACCTCCTGGGTTCAAGTGATTCTCCTGCCTCAGCCTCTTGAGTAGCTGGGATTACGGGCGCCTGCCACCACGCCTGGCTAATTTTTGTATCTTCAGTAGAGACGAGGTTTCACCATGTTGTCCAGGCTGGATTGAACCCTTGACCTCAGATGATCCACCTGCCTTGGCCTCCCAACATGTTGGGATTACCGGTGTGAGCCACCACGCCTGGCCTGACCTTCTTTCTTTAAAGGAAACTGTTACTAATATTTAGAAATTACACAAGTAATACAATAATATATTACTTAACCTTTGTTCTGTGTGCTAAATTGGTAGGTTTAAAAATTAGCTTTTTATAAAATGGATACATAACATCAGTAACTTTATCACATCCTTTCTTTTTTTTATAGATTTAGGGGTTTCAAGTGCATTTTTATTACATGGATATACTGCATAGTAGTAAAGTCTGGGCTTTTAGTGTAACTGTCACCCAAATAGTGTACATCGTACTCAATAGGTAAGTTCTCATCCTTCATCTTCCACCTTCCACCTTTTGGAGTCTCCAATGTCTATTATTCTACTTTGTATGTCCATATGTACCCATAGTTTAGCTCCCACTTAGAAGTGAGAACATGTGGTATTTGACTTTCTGTTTCTGAGTGATTTCAGTTAAGATAATGGCCTCCAGTTCCATCCATGTTGCTGTAAGATATAATTTCATTCATTTTAATGGCTGAGTAGTATTCCACAGTATATATATCTATATACATATATTTAGATATGTACCACATTTTCTTTATCCAGTCATCCTTTGATGGATGCTTAGGTTGATTCCAAGACTTTGCTATCATGAATAGCACTGCGATAAACATACCAGTATAGATGTCTTTTTGGTAAAATGACTTATTTTGCTTCGGGTAGATACCCAGTAGTGACACTGCTGGATCAAATAGTACTTCTATCTTTAGCTCTTTGAGAAATCTCCATACTGTTTTCCACAGAGGCTGTACTAATTTACATTCCCACCAACAGTGTATATGAATCCCCTTTTCCTTGCCAACATCTGTTTTTTTTTTTTTTAAATAGTAGCCATTCTGATTGGTGTGAGATGGTATCTCATTTTGGTTTTAATTTGCATTTCTCTGATGATTAGTGATGTCGAGCATTTTTTCATATGTTTATTGGCCACTTACATGTATCACATTAATTTAAACATACTTAAACATACTTACAAAACAAAAAACTTTCCAACACCCATGCTTAAGACAACAGCCCTTTCCTGTAATCCAGGTTTGTTTCTCTTCGTTATTTCAAGGAGTCTTGCAGAGGGGATAGGAAATAAGAAAGGAGAAAGAAAAGGGGAGGAAGTTTCATCCTGAGAGTTTGGAAACACTGGACTCTTATCTTGCCAACCCACACTGTAATCTTCTCTACAAGAGGTCACACATTTAGGTAGGTTCCTACAAGGATACCTGTCATACTCTTTTACAGTCTCTCTTTTTGTTCTCGTTTTGGAGAAGATCACTGAATAGGGGTAATTTCAAAGCTCCATCAGGCATGATCTAATAATTTAAATCTCTGAGATATTATAGTGTTTTCAATGATAACACATCTCATTTCTTTATATAGTACCATTTGCTTTTCAAAGAGCTTTCATCCTTGATTATCACCTTTGGTTCTCACAATATTTCATGAAGTAGATGAAATAGGAATTATTGTCTCCAATTCAATTATGAAACAGACCCAAAAAGATGAAGTGGCTTTTCCAGGATTATAAATCTTAGCAAATTAGCTGGTACATGCTAGATTCTTAATTATTGATTTACCTAGCCAGAGTCATTATCAAAATTTAGTTCTCCCATATGCTTGTTCTGAATTACTTCCAGTATGTCACCCCGTTTCCCTTTGTAAGATATTTTGAATAGGCAAACCATTCATAAAAACAAAAGATGAATACAGTTTATGTGTTTTATATTATTTGGGAGTGAGACTGTAACAACAACAGCTATAACTTACCGAACTTTTTTAAAGTGCCAAGAACTGTGCTATTTCTTTACATACGTTATTTTCCAACATGTTTGCAAGGTAGGTATTATAGTTTACAGATGAGAAAATTGAATCTCAAAGAGATAAAATAACTTGCTTAAAACTACAAAGTTATATAAGTGATTGAGCTGGGATTTCAATTTTGATAGGTCAAAATACAAAACTCTTCAAATTGCTTCCCTAAGGCTTAATTGAGGGAACTGAGAGAACTATCCAAGAACTAGGGCATTTATAAAATTTTATAAATTTTACAAAAGCTATGCTTGCAAAGAAATTAATGGCAGGCTTGATTAAATTATGATGAATTCAACTGCTGTCTAGTCAATTAGATGGAAGCTACACAGATTAATATATTCTGATTTTTGAAAGGAACACCTAATCCAGCCTTAGTTAGAAATACTTAAAAAGTAAACCTAAATAAATTTTATTATATTTGTCATCTGGAATGAAAAACTCATGAGTAAGGAAGTTTTTAGTTTGAGCCAAGTATCAAATTCCATACTAGTTATGTGAGCGGGGAAAAGTTACTAACAGCTCATTTATTAACCTTACTATTTATATAATGCTAGGAGCTTTCTATATGGTCATCAAACACCTACATGTTAGAAAAGATTTTAAAAACCCATCTTTACATGTTTATAGTATTAAGAGGACTGGAATAAAAATATTTTAGACTTTTGTATGATGAAAGTACTTTTTCTAATGCAGAAAAACAAGTGATAACAGACTGGTGATAATATAATGCTACTATGAAATTATATAGCCTAATTTTTCTATCTCTTCAAACATTAACTCTGTGGTCCTTACAGTGTACCATGAAGGCTGGTAGAATTTACCCACCACACAGTCCTATGGTGTCAGCTGAAGAGCCACTAGGTATTCTATTAAGAAAAACTGGAAGAAAACCAGGAAGGTCAATCAGCTCATTCATACTATATAAGTAAATGATTTGATTAAACAATTACTATGGCACGGGGTGGCTGATGCCAACTGCTTAGAATATCAGAAAGATAAATAAAAATAAAAGAAAATTTCAGCTGGATATCTGTCATAGGAACAAAAAATATAACAGGCTGAAAGTTAAAAAATAGTAATAATGGGAGCATATTCAATGAATCCTTGTTAGTTTTCAGGTTCACCAGCCCTTAGGAAGTGTGAAAAGAAGCTTTCTTAGCCTGAGGCTGAACCATGGCTAGCCCCTGGGTTTCTCTTAGCTCAAGGGTCTGGCATAACAGTATTTCAGCTTTTTTCTTCTCTTCCCTCTACTGGATGTAGTCAGCCAATCCATTTAAGAGTGGCACATACTGACTGCCTTTTCAAGAAGAAAAGGAGACTAAGTGTACCTTATGCGTCTTTCTTGTAACTAAATAGCACCAATGCTAAATAACTGGTGGAAAAATTAAGCAACAGGGAATAAGAATCTCCTAACTCCATGACCTTTTTCAGCCAAAGTTCCTACCATAGATTGAACACTATACACATATAGTGTTCTATAGAAAACCAAAAAGAAGGGAGGGGAGCTTTCAAAAATATTAGGTCTTCACATGGGTTTTCTATTATTATTTTAAACATGTCTAGCTTTTTCTATTTCCTCTCAATGTTCTGCCTCTAGAAAGGGAGTTTGAGGATGGGAGGTGTTACAGGTTGGTGGGGGCTCAAGATATAAAGGCTCACACCCATTCATCTCAGCACTAAAAAAAACCAAGTCTCACCTCTCTCATCCATTCTCGAATCGTTTTGCCAGCTTCTTGATGCCACACATTGTGAACAGAGTCTGTCAATGCCACAGCAGTTACCTTATTTTTTACATCGGCTTCTCGTTGAATCATCTGTTTTAAAAAAGGAAAATAAAATATTGGCTATAATTGTTTTTCCTACTGGGTGCAGCCTGCTTAGTCAGAGATAACAATAATATTATATTAACAATGAAAAAGCAATATGCATCTCTGGTTCAAAGTTACTCTTTTTTTGCATTGAACACACACCCTATTCTTGTCCAGAGATGTGAAAAGACCTAATATTTCATTTAAAAAAATACCACTTAAGTCTTAGAACTACGCAGCTCTATTATTTTCCATGTGGTTTGACGATTCGAGGATTAAAGGGATCACAGGGGAATCCCTGAGGGTTTCTTTTACAAGTTTCTTCCACCACTTCCTATTTCAGTGCTTCAGGGAAGTTAGTACCCGGGGTTCACTGTTAGCTACTTAGGACTAACTTCTACTAATTTTCAGTAGATGGCACATCAGTAAAGAAAGATATCTTGCTTTGACTTTTCCAATTTAACTAGCCTGCTCTTCACCATGGCCTTGTAATTCCTTGGTGTTTTAAATGCCCACAAAGATATTTTTCATTCAAAGCCTATTAATTTTGCTTTCCAGCATATTTCTTTATGTTGGCAAACATTATATTTTATAATAACTTCTTCCTATAGAATGCTATTTCTACAAAACAAAATAGCTTCTAAAATAACAAAAAAAGATTTGCTTGGCTTGGAGATACCGATGAATTCATCAGTGGTCTGCCAGATAAAGAAATTAAAAGCTAAAATTTCTACATCAAAAGAAATGAAAAAAGGTTTTAATCTACTACACTAGTGGCCCTAATTTGGTGTAATAAATGTAAGAAAGCTATAAAAATTGCAGTTAAAATATCATAAATACTAACCTTGCATTTCATAATAATGTTCTTTTTTTTGCTTCAAATGTCTTTTCTCCCTCTAAATTCTTTTATTGAAAAAAAGAACAATTTCTTTATCATTTGCTGTTAATTTCTATGAATTGTCTATCAAAAATATAATAGTGCACTTCAAAAAAGAGAATTCTGAATGGCGATGAAAGCTCATACAGAGAAAGAACACTGCACACCATGCTTATGATACCAAAGGATGCCTGTTGGCGTTCTGAATTTAAAATGTCTCTCTCTTAATTTTTTTTAAGCCCAGCATATGTACATGCTGTCTCAATGAATACTACCTAATGGGAACCCAACTCACTGTTAATGCTGCCTCAGCAACATTTCTGCACCTCAAGTCTTTGTGCCCTGTGTTTTCTGCTTATATAATATAAAAATCTTAAAATCAATATTGGTTACCAACATCATAATATTGCTGCAAAAATTTATCCTGCAATACCAATAATACTTTTAAAAGCATAAAATAATACTCTAATTTAATACTTCACATGAATTATTAACTAGTATGCTACCTTCTTCTAGATTTTATTTTACAAATAGATTATCATTGGATCACATTGGCACTAGCATATAAAAGTTTAAACCAACATTAGATGATAAAACCCCAAATTCCACAATATTGAATCCAACTGGCTTATGAAGAAATTATACGTCCTTATTCTCATTTTCTAAATGGTAACACTTTTAGAGATCTAGACCAATTGTTGCTGAAGTACAAAATAAGAACATGCCTTTCTGGTATTCTAAGGATATGTTTGCGTTTTAAAATATTTGACTCGGATTTTGTTGTGGTTGTTGTTAACATATGCAGATGTATTTAAGACAGCATCTGAAGACACTAAATCTTGAGAGCCATTTGTGAAATGAGATACAATAAAGTAATGAATTGGTGAGGAGTTAGTGTTAAAGTAGAAAACCTGGGGATTAAAATTCTACAAGATGGAAAAATACAGAGTTGTTAGAGGGACTACTAGAGGAAAATATCTGTAGTCTGTCTTTCTGGCTGACGTTTCATACAGTGGAAGTGATAACACGCAATTTATCATCACATCACACTGTCACATTATAATCCAATATGATACTCTCTTACACTGTTATAGCATTTTACACTTTAAAAATCACTTTCATATTTTATTATTACAGGTGAGGAATGGCCAAATTCCAGAAGATCTTACTGAAGAGCGGTTTACAAATTAACCCAGTAGCAAAGAATTTCCAATATTTGACTGTTTAGGATTAGTAGAATTGTGAATAAGTGAATATGTTAACAGTCTAACTTTTTGGACTATTTACCTCTGTTCCATCCTTGCTGCAGCCTAATTTAGTAGTCCTGGAACTACTTGCAACTGCCATTTCTGTCCAGACCCTCTGCTTCTTGCATTTATTAGTCTGGGTCACAGTCCCCCCTTACTTCTTCCACTGTGAATGAGTACTGATGAAAAATACTGGAGACAGGCAATGGTGCAGGGAGACAGAATCAGGTTTGCTTAAGAGACAGACCTTAGATGAAATATAGCCAAAGCAAGGAATGAGTAGAAGCACAGCTGGGCAGGAAAAAACCTTCTATAATATGGTCTATAACAGAAGACCATAATAGTCTGGAAAACCCTCTCTGAAAGGGAGGAAAGCCATATCATCAAAGTCCTTCTATATAACAATCTAAGGTGGACATGGCAGTATTTAATTAGGATCCATTGATATTAAACAACTTGAAATTCCTTGTAAAATGCTTTCTACATGGGCATATGAATATTTTTTTGAGGAGAAGATCTTTAACTTTGAGATTCTCAAAGGAATCTTAGTCTGTAAAAAAGATAAGACCATGTGATCTAAATGTCTCCATATATTCTTGAATTATGAAATATCCAGTAAGAGATCCCTTTGAATAATTACACTTAAGGTCAACATCCATACCATTTTTGTTATAATATCTTCAGTGTGGTATCAAGTGTTGGATAGAAGTGATGACAAATTTTGATACCTCGGACATCAACATCCTAAAGTTCCATGGCTTAATAGGATATACATTGTAAAGTTACAATTAAAATATTGCTTTTGTCTGTGTATAATATTTATTTTAATCTGAATAGCAGTTTCCAAATTTCAAAATAAAATACAAATTAATTCTCATTTTACTCTCAAATAATATGGAAATGTAGGCAAAACTTGTTTATTTTCCCTATTTGTGGATAAGTAAACTGAGACAGTTTAAGAAACCAGTTAAAGGCCACCCAGACACAAAGTGATAAAACTGTGACTTGACCTTGGATATATGTCATGTTCTTTCATCTGTATTACACGAGGTCTACTTCTCAGTAATACATAACACTCTTACATAAATAAACTCATTTGATTAATTCCCTTTTCATATATACAGCATTTCATTCACTTGGACATTTTTTTAAATGGTAAAAAGATCCAGATCAGTAAGGAATGTTGAAATTCTAAAATTCATGCCAAGATAGAAATCAGCCAGGAGGAGAAACTGACAATAGCACTTTAAAATTATTACAGTTCTAAAATAAATAATGTCTAGGGTAAGAGGGAAAATTAGATATTCCTATAAATCATATTGATGATTTCAGCATTAACAAAAAAATGTGGCCCTGTTACCTGATAGTTTTGTTTCCTTAATTCTACCCATTTATCCACTCATAGTGTTTTCACTTGAGCTTAAACATAATTAATCTGTTCTTTCCTTCACTATGTGGCATGCTCCTAGTCTGGCAAAAGTTTAAGCTACTAAATATCAAGTACAGTACTTTGAACAGATTAAAAGCATATGCCATCTGTATGCAAGTTCATATTACTATTAACATTGTTGATGGGGCTGAAATTGAGGGGGGGAAATCCTGTTTATCATTATTTTTTCTTGCAGAGTAAGAGTTAAAAAATTAACTAACAGTGACAAGACGGATGAGTTCGTCTGAGTATAATAGGAGTATTCATTCGGTGAGATGAAGACCAGAGGACCAAAGGGAGGTGCGGGAGGGCCGGAGGCAGCAAGGCTACCTCTGCTCCCTTCCGTGTGCAGTGCAGGCCTTCCACAGGGCTGCTACCATTTCCCTCCAGAAATCCTGCAGACCTTTTCTGTCCACCTAATTTACCGCACCATGCTTTCTCTAAGGTCCTCAAATGATGTACCTGCCTACTGTCTTCACAGATACCTGGCCAAATTCAAATGCTTCATGTCATCCTAAGCATTCTTCAATTTCCTTTTTGTGCTTAAAAACTGTTTTAGCATTTCTCTGGATTTCATTTCTTCCAGAACTCCACCATAAATGACTTTCCGCAAAGGAAAACACAAAGATTCCTTTACTTCTGCCAAATTGAATTATGATTTAATTTAACTTATACTGAATTAAGGTAGAGAGATGCCTTAATTTACTTTGAAGGCAGGGAGATGTTGATGTTATAGGGATGCTCTGCCATGAAGTCTTTGGCATATCTCTAATCCAGGGCCTTGGGTTATGGGAATTGTAAATCCAACTCAATTCAATCTCCCAACCTAAAGGAGAAAGAAACTCTAAATTGGGATGGCTTCACCCTAACCTAAAAGAAGCTGATGCATAATTTCATTTTCCTGTATTTGTAGCCTGGCAGCCATGACACTCAGAATAATTACTTCTTATATTTTAAAGTCCAAGGGAATTCCTAAAAGAGCCAGTGTGGGTTGGGGTAGGGATGTATATATGTGCGTGCAGACCCATAGCTATGTTTGGATATATCACATGTTTCAAATGTGTTTTTGAAAAAATATTTTAAAGTCTTCTATCAGCAAAAGCCATTACTTTCTTTTTAAATTATGACATGTGTTACACATATGTACTGTGAGGGTTACAGCATGTGAATTACTTGTACAGGAAATAATATTCTGAAAAGAAAATCAGATAACACATATTTGCATCAGATTAGGATCTGACACTACTGTACGTTTATAAATCCAAGGATCATTACTACCGTATGAGCATGAATGAATCATCACTCCGGTTAATAGCAGAGTTGAGGTTTGAGATGCCTTTAAAAAAAATACATGTATATAAATAGATTAGCTCCCTCTAGAGCTCCTTTAGTTAAAATTTCAGATTAAGTTGTTTCAAAGGCTTGAAAAGTATAAAATGCTGGTACCTTTTCATAATTTCATTAAGCAGATCATAATTGCATTCAGTGCTTCTACTTCAGTGCAGTTTTTATGTGGTTTAATAAACTAAAATATTTTATCACAAACCTCTCCTATCACTTTACACTTCTGCCTGCATATTCTCCATTTCATGGTACTCTGTCCTGTGCTATCCAAGCCCACCTGGTTACAAGTGTGCCCTGTAGATGACTTATCAGTCAACTCTGGGTTTGGCAGTCTTTTCTGTTAAGGTCAGAGACTACTTTGTATTATTTTTCCTGAAGATTCTTTTGGACAAGTCTATCCCAACAGAATGCTACTAAGAGAACAAATACCATCTTTGGTGTAACACTAAAACCTTGATTCTGTTATCTTAGGCACTAGCACCTCTAGTGATTATAATGAAATACACACACTTCAGTAGATAAAATGTGAAGACCAAACTGCCCAGCAGGAAATTCAGATGAGTATGACATTCAACTCTCCTGTTACCTGCAGTTCACACCTCTAATCTGCATTCACAATTTCTATTTTGAAAGTAGAAGCTTCGGAAGTTAAGTGCAATAGTTAAATTCAAGGACGGTGGAGTCAGATTCCCTGGGTTCAAGTCCATGCTCTGCCACTTCTAGTAATGATACTTTGAGTAAATTATTTTTCTGTACTTCAGCTTTATCAGGTGAATGTCATGGGAGATGACAAATCCCCGTAAGTCATAGGATTATTTTGAGTACTAAATGAACAAACTGAAAAGCAACTAGCAGAGGACATGGCACACAGTACATAATTATAATAGGTCATCCCACAAAAATATGCCATGTAAACTACTCCGAATCTTTAAAAAGTGCATTATCCTCACTCATACAGAGGAAGCTAATAGAAGTTTAGTTTATAAATGCACTTAATGACAAATATTACTTTAAAAAAGGCACAGGCCTGCAAAGAAAACATGTACGAAGGGCTGCTTTTTCCTTTGATTACATGGTGCAAGACTTCTATAACTGCATGACTAAGAAGTACTAAGATCTGATGATTGTGTGTATTTAAAATCCTGTCATCAGCACACTAGACCAGTCATACCACTATGCACTTGACAATGAAAACAGAATTGGTGAAGCAATACTGTGGTAGTTCTACTTTCCTCCCACCAGTGAACCCTTTCAGAATGGCTTGAGCTGGCAACAAAGCACGAAGCCATGGCTCAGCAGTGCCACGCTGGGGGAAAGAGTCCCTTTACCACCTTGTTTTCTACATAGAGGTAGTGTAACTGACTGTATTTAAAAAAAAAGATAATCACAGAGATACAGAGTATGTCCAGAGGAAGGCAGTATAGTGTTATAGTTAAAAGTATGCATAGGCTTTAGAATTAGACGTGCTTAGATTTTTATTTTTGGTTAATCTTTGTAAGAACACCCAAATGAGAATAATACCAGTAGTCTCTTCATAGGGCTGCTGAAGCATAAAGGAGAAAAGGCATGTAAGAAATCAATAATGTCAGCTATTATTATTACCTTGACATTCATCTCTAATTTCTAAAATGTAACCTTCCTTTTAGATGTGGTATCTATGTGCTCTTCAGTGACATCAAAATTCATACTGATAGGATACCAGTTTTGAAGTATCATACAGCTTCTACTCCCATCTCCACCCCTACTTCCCTGATTTTGTAAAGTGATTTGGTTTCGATTAAATATTGTAAAGGAAATAATCAAGTACAAATAAGATGACTATAGATTCCAGTTTGCCCAGAACAGTCTTGGCTTATGACTATTAAACTGGCATAATTAATAATAGAGTCTCCTTTCCCTGTTACAGTGCTCTGGCTTGAATGGGAAATAATTTGATCATCGTATATATAACACGATGTTGAATGCTACCCTGGCAAACAGGTAAGGCTTATAAAGTTTCCTTCTGTTCAATGCTTAGCAATTTCAGCATATACCCCAAACGTATAAACTGTCTAAAAATAACTATGTAGGAAAACACACAAGAGGTATTTCAAAAGGTTTCTAAGTTCAAAATTTAAGAGCAAGCCTTAGCACTGTGCTGAGCCCCTCACAGATGGACAAGCAGTCTCACACCCTGGTTAGGTAAACATGGCCAGCTGGATCTCCACTGTAGCAACAGGATAAGACAACATTCTCTTTTCCTGTGCTTTGAAGCCCTAGCTTCAATTCTTGCAATCTTTGTTTAATTTCAGGAAGGAAAAGGCTCTCCATAGGCAAGAACACCAAGGGATAGGGTATGTAAACTGAAACTTCTTGGGTCACATGCGTTTATGAAGACAAGTCTCCAGCCACCAGTTAGGGAAAGGCAAGTTATGATTTATTATTGCAGGCGGCCAGAAGAGAGCAGTAATAACTTCCTTTTCCTTTCCTGCCTAGACCATGCTGCCACGTGCAAGCTCCCTCAACAACAAAAAAAGCATGTGTAAGATAGGTTTAAAAGAAAAAGAAAAGGAAAAAAAAAAGCAAACATTAAGTGATTGACAATCTGGGAGTTGAGAAAGAAGACACATGCTCTACAAAATACGTGATGTGGTTGGGGGTGGGGAGGGGAAGGCGACTGTTTGAAAAACTTGCTTTACCAATCAAGAAAACAGCTAGTATCTATTATATAAGAGACAAGTTAATTGTAAGGAAAAAGTAAAAGGGGTCACTTGCATAATAAGAAAATAGTATAAGTGATCATCATGTTGACTTGTTTGATTAAAACATTTTATTATGTAATATGACTGACCAGAGTAGGCAAGATATTATAAAACACAGATTTGAAAATTACAATGAATATATGTGAAGTAGATACAGTATAAAAGTGTAAGTTAGGACTAAACATTGTCAAACCAAAAAACTAAGGCAGGCTCAGCGAAGAAGACATTGAAATGGTGACACAGTCTTAGATAGAAAAGTGAGAAAATTTACCAAAACTTTATGAAAAAAATTCTAGGTAATAGATTATAACTATAAAGCAGAGGAAGGCATGATTTCTGACCTCTGGGTAGAACTCATATTTTAGGAAAGAAGGCAGGTTAAGATACATTCCCTTTGTAGGGACATGGATGAAATTGGAAATCATCATTCTCAGTGAACTATCGCAAGAACAAAAAACCAAACACCAAAACCAAAAAACCAAACACGCATGTTCTCACTCATAGATGGGAATTGAACAATGAGAAAACATGGACACAGGAAGGGGAACATCACACTCTGGGGACTGTTGTGGGGTGGGGGGAGGGGGAGGGATAGCATTAGGAGATATACCTAATGCTAAATGACAAGTTAATGGGTGCAGCACACCAGCATGGCACATGTATACATATGTAACTAACCTGCACATTGTGCACCTGTACCCTAAAACTTAAAGTATAATAATAATAAAAAAATAAAAAAAAGATACATTCCACAGAGACCCTTCATATTCTGAGTATTTATATATAGATTATCTCATTAGATAGAACAATTCCTTTTTAAGTACACAGGTTGGTAGCTGAGGGATTATGTACCAGTTTTATGGATGAGGAAACTGATGCCTAGAGAGTAAGTGACCCACGCATACCACATTCACATAATTAGTGGTGGCATAGCTAGATTTTTTTATTTTTATTTTTAAGAGACAGGGTCTTGCTCTGTCACCCAAGCTGAAGTGCAGTGGTAGGATCACAGCTTACTGTAACTTTAAACTCCTGGGCTCAAGTGAACCTCTCGCCTCAACCTACTGAATGGTTACAACTACAGGCGTACACCAACACTTCTGGCTAATTTTTTTTTTTTTTTTTTTTTTTTGGTAGAAACAAGGGCTTACTATGTTGCCCAGGCTTGTCTTGAACTCCTGGCCTCAGGCAATCCTCCCATCTTGGCCTCCTAAAGCCCTGGGATTACAAGTGTGAGTCACTGCAGGCAGCCTACATCTTTTAACTCCAGATCCCGTCTTTGTACCATGGCTATTTGTACATAATATCCTGTATTTTTTTCTTCTGAAATACTTATAAAACCAGTAAGGATTTGTTTGCCCTCATGTAGCCTCCATGAGGGCAAATCCATATTTGTTAACACCACATTCTCATTCCCTGCACAATGACTGGCAAATAACAGGTGCTCAAAAATTATTTGTGGACTGATGAAAGTGCTATTTACAGAAATGGATCAGGGAAGGTAATGGTTAGGAAGCTAGAGTAATGTCTGGTTTCATGTATTTAGAAATGACTTACATCACAGGTTGGTTCCCTAGGAAAGACTCTAAGACAACGTTTAGCATGCAGGATATTAAGGTGTGTCGTTACAATCAACATCTGAAGAAGGGAGGGGAATGAGGCAAGAATGAACAGAGAGAGAAATTAAGGTGACATGCAGGTCCCATTACAGACTTGCATAACCCCTGGGGAGCTCAGAACCCAAAATGGCCCTTCAGAGTTGTTCCAAGTTGGGTCTAGATGGCTTGGCCTTTAATCTACCACACTGTTCTTTGAGTATGGGCACCAAAGTGGCTGAGGCAATCTCTGATGGGACTGACAGCTGAAGGATGTCTGCTGAGAGCACTCCCAAGGGCTGAGGCAGTTAAGTCCTTTATTGAAGGTGCAACTGAGTAGTGCATCACAGTGTCTACCACAGGCCATAACAGAAATTATAGCATTTGTTTACCCTACTTTCAAATCTGTCTTTGACACACTGAGTTAATTCGAAAGCCTTGTCTTCAAGCTCTGAAGTTCTTTCTTCTGCTTGTTTGATTCCATTGCTGAGACTTTCCAGTGCATTTTGCACTTCTCTAAGTGTGTCCTTGATTTCCAGAAGTTGTAACTGTTTTTAATTTATATTATCTATTTCACTGAAGAACTTTCCTTTCATATCCTATATCATGTGTTTGATTTTTTAAAATTGAACTTCACCTTTCTCTGGTGCCTCCTTGATTAGCTTAATAATTGACTTTCTGAATTCTTTTTCTGGTAATTCAGAGATTTCATCTTGGTTTGGATCCATTGCTGGTGAGCTGGTATGATCTCTTGGGGGTGTTAAAGAACCGTGTTTTGTCATATTACCAGAGATGTTTTTCCAGTTGCTTCTCATTTGGATAGACTATGTCCAAATCTGGGATTCAAGGGCTGCCATTCAGATTCTTTTGTCCCACAGGGTGCTCCCTTGATGTGGTGTTCTCCCGCTTCCCCTAAGAATGGGGCTTCCTGAGAGCTGCACTGTAGTTGTTTTTGCTCTTCTGGGTCTAGACACCCAGCAGAGCTACTGGGCTCTGGTTGGTACTGGGAGTGTCTCCAAAGAGTCCTGTGATGTGATCCATCTTCAGGTCTTGCAGCTATGGATACCAGCACCTAGTCTGGTGGAGGTAGCAAGGGAGTGAAGTGGACTCTGTGAGGGTCCTTGGTTGTGTTTTGTGTGCTGGTTTTGTGTTGATTGGTCTCCAGTCATGAGGTGGCACTTTCAAGAGCACATCAGCTGTGGTTCTATAGGCAGGATCTAAACTTGTCCTAGGGACACCTGGTTAAGTATTCAGGTTACTCAGGCGGTGGGCAGGGCCATAGAGCTCCCAAGAGATTATGACCTTTGTCTTTGGCTACCAGGGTGAGTAGAGAAGGACCACAAGGTGGGGGTAGGGATAGGTGTGTCTGAGCTCAGTCTCTCCTCTGGCAGGCTGGCTGCAGCTGCTATGGGGGGTGGGGCTGTGTTTACCAGTCCAGTGAAGGAATATTCCCAGGGGGATTGTGTTCACCTCTGCTGAGTCATGCAGGTTGCCAGGAAAGTGGGGGAAAGCTGGCAGTCACAGGCCTCACCCCGCTCCCATGCGGCCCACAGTCCTAAAGGCCAGTCTCACTCCCACCATGCCCCACAACAGCACCGAGTCTATTTCTAGGCAGCCGGTGACCAGGGCTGAGAACTTGACCCAGACCATGAGCCTTTTTGTTGAGAAGGCACGCAGACTCACAGTTTTTCAGCATCTCAGGGAGCCTGCAGCAGTGATCCAGTTCCTTCAGAGGGTCTGTGGATTCTCTTGGCTTTCTTGGTATGTTCCTGTGGTAGTTCTTGGAGCATACATTCATGATGTGAGCCTCCACACACTGCTCTGTCCATCCAAGTGGGAGCTGCATACTAGTCCTGCCCCCATCTGCCATCTTAATCCTCTACATTCAAATCTAAATTTTCCTTCCAACCTGCTAACACTCCATTGTCTTATTCATGTACTCAAGATCACATCATGATTTGACTCACTAATAGCTAAGAGATCAAGTAGGTTTTTCTTAGATCTTAGATTTCAGACCTCTTACACACTGACACCATATTAACCCACTAAATGTTGGATTATGAAGAGAAAAACACAGAGCTAAAAGAATGTGAGGTCTGCTTTCAGAAGACTATTGAAAAGCAAAAAAAAAAAAAAATCAAAATCACAAATTTCAAAAATCATCCTATAAATCCATGGGGAATGATTGGATTTTCTGAATTTCAAATGAAATGTATATGTCAGATAAAGCAAGTTATACCTGTGATTTCAAAACTAAATGCATCTAAGTTTAAAATAACCCAAACTTCAAATAAAGTATGCAATCATCACTACTTAGCATCTGGCGTAATACGCTGAAACCTGATGGTGTTGGTAGGGGAAGGAAGGATAAGTATGGACAGAGAGGTTTCACTGTAAAAGTAACAAGACGGCTTTTCAAATCTCAGCCTTTATTCCCTATGATACAAAGAAAATAAAGACTGTGCGATATAAATTTGGGGACTAAAGACATTTGAGATTTTGATTCTTTTCCAATCTTAGTTGTTTTATGCCCTCAAATGTTTCTAAATTTTTGCCTCTAGAAATTCAGGGTAATCTTCATTTGATCACATTTCTTCAATGTAAGCTCAGGTTTATGAAGCTGAAATGGTATAGCACTAATGTGATTGGCCTATATGGTGGGGGGTGGTTCTTGACCAGCTCAATAAAAACCATTTAAATGTTCTTAAGACAGGATGTGTTAATCAACTGTGGGTTATTACAGCTGCCAGATACTGGGAGAGGTTGACACCCATCTGTAAATGAGAAAGTGACATCATTATAATAAGTATAAGTCACAGGCCTTCTATATTGTTTGAAAATATTTGAACGAGGATCTCCAGATGGCTCTTCTACCTAGGAACTTATGCTAAATACCTGAAACTTCTGTTCCCTGCAAGTGAATACTGTTGCTTGAAGAAACTTCTATTCAACTAACTTTTAAGGGCTGTTTAAATGAACACTTCCCAACCAACAAATGTGGGACAATTCTTTAAGTTGGGATTTTAAAATCCGACTTGGATTACATGCTGGAAACATTTTTCTTATGAAGGCACATCTCACATTTCTGAAATAATGAAAGTCTGCAGAAATAAATGGTTTGAAAGGTTTATTTGAGATAGGACTTTTGGGGATTGCACTTACTGCACAAAACCATATAAACATTGGGTGGAAGAAAAGACAGGATTGAATTTAAAGTAGCTACTTACCTCTATGTATATGGCTGCATCTTCCTTTCACAGATAGAGAACATGTATATACACTACATGTAACAAAAGAGCACTTCTGAGTTGATATACTAGTGAACCATAAACAGTCCACTATACAACAAGTTTCCTCTATCAATATCCACCCTAATGGAAAATACTGGAGTAGCACTTCAGATCACTAACAGGAAGAGGAAAACTCTGAAACCCGTCATTTAGACATCTGACAGCTCTGATGCATGAGAGCACTGAAAAATTTACACTGAGGAAGCGTTTATGTGTGAGTGAAGGTGAATTATTCTCTAGGCTACTTTAAAAAATTCCATTTTCTTTCATGTGTCTATTCCTTAGCACTTCTTTGGAGGACATTCCATCAGTTGAGTCAATGATTCAGAGTCTCTATTCTATTATCATTAAGTATTGCCTCAATTTCATGAGTATGAAATAATTCAAACAGCAAAATTCTAAAATAAATATACTTAGGAAGCACAGTACAGAGTGTTTAATAAGCATCAGTATTTATTATGGTAGGAGGCAGAATTTTTGTTACATCACACCTTTTGTTAAGTAGCCAATATGAAATTCTATAAAATGGCAAATATATAAAAGAGTCAGTAGTTCACTAATTTAGAAAGTCAATTATGTATCACTGTTTCATATCAGGTTAATTACTTCATTTACATTTTCAGAATTTTAAAGTAGTGCCTGAAAGGTGACAGACTGACAGTACTACAGACTGCAATTCTTAAACTATTTTACTGAGTGTTAATAATATAAAAGGCAATATACAAAACAGAATTACACACAGGTTTTATCTAATGTGATTATAAGTGAAATAGACATGGCACAGAAATGGGAGAACAAGAGAGGTGTTTTCAGAAAAATTTTACTGAAGACGTACAGTACAAGGGAAGTGATAAATTGCTAGATAGCTTCTATATTGTTCTTTTAGGCATATATGTATGAAAGGATGGCGGTTAAATATCAACAAAACATCAATGTGTCTGAAGGGAGGAGAGTGAATGACATTTGAGAGAAGTCAAAAGAAGAAATCTAGATTGAAAAAGAATAAAAGGGACTCCTTGAGGGGAACGTTTATTGTAATCAGAAGTATAATAAAAGGAGATACTACCACAGTCAGAGCACAAAAGAAGACTATGCATAGGAATGAGGAACAAATGTTGAGTTTCCATAGTTCTGATTCCTTACCCACTTCCATAAGAACCCAACCTGCCACTCCTTATTGTGGGTGTCATGATGAAATCTACCATACTACTTTCTGTCACTAAGTTGTCAGGAAAAGCAAGGCTTCCCTAAGTCTGTCTCTTCCCACACAACCACCAGCACATACTATGATCTATTAGTCCCCTTTCTCCTCAAACAAAAAAGGACAATAAACTCACTGCTGAATTTTCCAGTAATTCAATTAAATGTTTCTAGAAGGTAATTGATGCCACTTTTTATTCAGTCTGGGAGTGGGTGGGTTAGACTCTACTGCCTTAAGATTTACATTCTAATAGTTATAAATACAGGGCAATTATATCTCCTATGGCCTTTTATATAAAAGTGAATTTATAAGTAACATCATGGTTTACTGAAACCATTTAAATATTATTTGTAATAATGGCATGGCTCCACCTGTACCATCACATAGAAGAAAAGAATGAAAAATTGTCAAGAATGTTAGAAATTATCCAATCCAATTGCTTTTTGTATGGATGAGAAAACAGATAAAGTGACTTAGGTGTCACCTCTAGTGTGACATGGGATAACACCAGTATCAGACTCCAAGTTCCACAACTGATAATGCCTCTCCTTCACTCTATGCTACAGTGCACTACCTAAGAGCACATATGCCTTAGTTCCTTGATGGTATGTCCTAGCACTTTCCTTCCTTGTAATACTACAGGCTCCAAAGTGATTTACTTTTATGTAAGTCTTGGGTTGACAGGCCACCAAGGTGGTTTGTACACATAAACTGCTTTAATTCCATGGACTGAATGGCTGTTGTTTTATTCTTTTTCTGATCAATTTGGCAGGTCAACTCAGTCAAACTGGTTTCTTCATGTAGATACTGCCTTACTATGGAAATGAAGGTGGAAACATTCATCTTTGTCAGAAATTATGTCAAATTATTCAAATTTATTGGTGAATTACAACAAACATCCCAGCTGATGAACATCTCAGTCATATGTTTTTTAGAGAACACTTATGGTCCTGAAAAGATAACATTGCAATGAGCTTTCCCATTCTGAAGCAAAGATGTTTGGATAGAGAATGGGGTCTGTTATTCAAGATAATAATTTATTTCAATCATAAAAATTACAAAGATATCCAGAACTGTAAGTATCAAAATATATCCCTTTAGATAGTGTTGCTGTTGTTTTCTTTCCCCCTCTCCTTGTTATGGTCCTCTTTCAAGACTCTTACGAAGCTGTCTCTAAGACCCTTTCTGTCAGTTTCCATCTTTTCTATAGACATACTATAGCCTTCACATTAACACTGCTTCTCTGGCTTGAGGTAATAAACGATTAGCTACAGCACAGTGGTGTGATGTTCATGTTATTCTTTGCTGTACTACACCTAGCCAATGTTTCAAAAATTAATGCAAGTATATCAGGATCTGAAATTAACTTTTTATAGCCAAAAGCAACATCCTGCTAGGAGGAGAAAAACCTATTATAAATGGGCTGGCATCTGATTGCTTGTACATGGTTAGTACCAGGAAACTAACATTTCAAATTATAAAGCGTTGAATATAACAAAAGCTGCCCCATATTGATTAATCACTGTTTTGTTTATGAACTGATAAGGTCTAACTAGGTAGTATCTATTATTAGTAAGTCACAGATCTATTACTAAAGATCTGAGATGAACCTAAATTGGCTAATGTTTTTATGATGTTATATAGAAATAATTAGAAAAAAATACCAGCATGAAAAATAACAGCATTTCCCCCGAACTGTATATTATCTTGGGATATATTTTTTCCAGGTAATTATTTAAAACTAGTCACTAAAAATATATTCAAAAGTATATGTTATTCAATAAGCACTATCAAAAAATCACTTTGAAAAATGCGAACAGAAAAAATCAACCTAGGATAATGCACATATCTATTTCTCTTTGAAAAATTTTAAATAATTTCTAATTGAAGTACCTATATAGGAGAAATCAATTTAATGTGCTACAAAGCAAAGGTATTTAAAAATTTTATTTAAAACTGCCCATGTGTTTATATTCAGTTATTTTACTGGTGTTTAGACCAAGCTTGACTATAGTGGTAATCTTTTTTGTTTCTTTTCATTCAGGATGTAAAACATATGCTATGAAAACTTTAAAATCTGCAAGAATACTTTATTTAAATTACTCATGTTAAAAATCAATACCTTTAGCTAATAAAAATAGGGCATGATTTAACTGCATATTTTCACACACACACACACACACACACACACACACACACACACACACGCACACAAAGATACAGCTATAACTCTAGAGGAGAAGGATATAAAATTTTACCAGTTCTGGCATGTTTAATTAATTAGGAGAACAGTGTAAAATAGTTGTCTATATTCCTTAGGCTACTGATTGCTTTCTACATTTGGAAGATGGGGGACAAGACGGGAGAGGAGGGAGTTTTATTTTAAAAGTGCGTATTAAAACAAAAATGTTATTAATGTCCTTAGAGATTACAGGTGGTGCTATAGATTGAAACATGAATATTTAGGCTTAGAATGGACACTAAAATTCTAAAAAATAAATGGAGCAAATCTTTATATTTTAAAAAGATTTCAAGCTATAATTATCGATTGAAAATGTTTACTTAATTATGTTGTCACTTGATTTTCAACTAGTAGCCACAGCTCTAATCTATAAATAGAGTTAGGAATGGTAGCACATCAATTTTTCTCTTTCATTTTTAAATGATCAGCTGAAATAGAGAATGAAATGCAATCTTTAATATAGTTTTAAAAGACTTTAAGTTACTTTTGAACTACGAACATGTGAAAAATTACAAATAGGATCACTGACAGTAATTTTTATAAGTAAAAAGGTACAAATTGTTGCTATTTGTGCTCTTCATTCTTAATCCTTTGCTTATCTTTCTTTTGACCTTTATCCAAATGAATCACACTAACTCTTGAATGCTTTCTCTCACTTGATTTCTAAAGCTGTTCATCACACTTGCTGGCTAGAAGCACAGCTGGCAAGGGATCTAAGCCTCATCACTGGGCAAACTTGCCCTTCTGGTTTTGCCAAGAATGACATTTCCAATGGAAGAAAAAGTTACTGTATGGGACACTGGATACTCTATTTATTTGTGAGAACCAATAGCTCCAACCCCCTTTGTTAGCACTACATATAGGCATTAGAAATAAAACCAAAATAACAAAGGATCAAACAGCCTAGAGTTCTCTAAATTCAATTGTTAATTAAAGTGAGAGCACAGAAACCAGCCGAGTATTTTTATTCATTTCCTGAAGAAAGATGCAACCAAGGATAAGCAGTGCCCCCTAGTGTCAATAACCACAGACAATAAAAGCTAGAGAAAAGTTGCTAATGTTAGCTGAACTAAATTATTAAAAATATATGTTTTAATACATGATAAATTCATCATTATTCAAATTTTAGACTTTACATGTATATAAAAGCACACCCACATCATTTATTTAATACTGACTTGCTCAGGAATGTGCACATGTGAGGGCACATGCACACACACTGTACACAGACTGACATGGCCAAGATGTCTTTAATGTTTCAGGCAGCTCAGAAAAAAAATTCCACCCAGCACAGCAGGCCATGCATGAAGCGGGTGTCAGCAAGCCCTACAGAATCACTCACTGTGAAGACATCTAATAGGAACTGCTGAATACACAATACAGGCAGCATGGCCTGAATGGCTAAAGTGGAATGGCCAGAACGAAGTCTGAAGGTTTTCAAATACAACCAAAATTATAATTCAACCAGTAAAGAATTTTTAGACATTTTCTGTTTTTATTGTTATTAGGAAATTAGTATATTTAGCCTGTATTAGAGACTGATTTTGAAAATGCTATAACTTTTACCATGCATATTCTGAATATTGAATCCTAAATCTGAAGAACAAATAAATATACATCCTCTCTTTGGAAAAAAATGCAACACAAAATTCAAATATTAAAAAACACTAAATATATTTTATAAAATTTAAGTCAAGATATATTTTCTCTGATAAATCTTATAAGAAAATTTAAGTTATTTTTAAAAGACAAATTAGGTATCTAGAGAGTGATATATGTGCCAAACAGGTAAAGTCAGTTTCTTGTTTTGTGAAATACTGTCACTTATTTATTAACAGCAATTTTTGTCATAGATGACACATAAATGGGGGCAAAAAAGAAATCACAATGAAAAAGAAAACATCCATACAAATAAAAATGATAAACAGGAAAAACCAAAAAGCCAGGAGGACTGGGTATGTATGTATCAAATAAGCATCTAATAAAAAGCAAATTAATACGATAAACAATTGCTTAATTTTATTTACATAAAAAGTACAAGGCAAGAAAAATTCAAGGCTATTTAAAACATGTATTTATACAGAAGTCCATTTGTGAATTACTTTTTCACATAAACCAATAATGCATATAGGACTAGTTTTTCATTTTAAAAAGCACAAGACATAATTATGCTTTTATAAAAAGATTGCTATGTGCATTTAAGTTGCTCCATCTTTAAAAGGATGAAGATGCAAATGCAATAGTTTAGCAGGCATAAACAGAATTCCAGAATGATGTTTAGCAGTAGATAGGTATTTTGGCCATTTACAATAAATTCTGGTTAAAACAGAAGCTGAAACTTCAACTATTCAAATTTAGAAAAAGTTCTAAAATGCTTACTATTGAGTTTTTAAAGAAGCATAATGATGGCAAGACTACTAAAATCTTTAAGAATTAAAGAACAGCAGCAACAACAAAAACCCCCTTCTTACATATAACAGTATTTCGCTAACATCCAGAAGGAAATAAAATGTAGATGGACATATTTACATTCATGCTAATTGTATGGACACACATTTTGTTGCATTAACAATTATGAGTTACTTCTCACAAAAATCTCCAATGGAAATGGAGTATTATACCACATGAGTAATAACAGGTGCCTGCTTAGATAGGTGATAGTGAAAAGTCAAATTTGTGTGCCTATCCACGAGGAATGAGGACTTGTTTTTTCCTTGGTGGAACATGTGCAGTTTAGCATGCTACTGCAGCTGGCACTAAACATCAAGTAATTTTCTGCAGCTCTTCAACAGACAAAAACATTATACATATAAAGTTGTTATGTTCTTTCATGTCTTTTACAAATTTTTGTTTTCATGGATACTACAGCTTTCATCTTTAATTCAACAATAGACTACTTGGTGGTTATTTGTTATTAATATAGGCATAAAGTGATGTGAGATTTCTAAACCCACCCTAGAACTCTCCTACTTCAATTCCCTCTCCTCCCTCACCGCCCCCCCACCCAAAAAGAGGGATAAATTCTAAAGGCTAAGATGTAAGATGAGAACACATGAACACATAGAGGGGAACAACACATACTGGGGCCTATTGGAGGGTGGAGGGTGGAGGGTGGGAGGAGGGAGAGGATCAGGAAAAATAACAAATGGGTACTAGGCTTAAGACCTTGTGATGAAATCATCTGTATAACAAACCCTCATACACAAGTTTACCTACATAAAAAACCTGCATATGTATTCCTGAACTTAAAAGTTAAAAAAAAAAAAAAAAGAGAAAAGCTTCCATTTTTGGACATAAGAATTTTTTAGACTTAACCCAAAATATTTCTATGTGTTGATTTGGGGAATGTATGAATAAACGTCCCTGGTCAGGTTTTTCTTTTTGTAGAAAACGGGAAAGGTAAGCAGGTCCATGCCTGTTGCATGAAAGAGATGCTGGGTTAGGATTATGAAGACAGTGGAGCTAGGTTTGTACACAGCCGGAGAGAAATAGTGATTCAGAGCTGTTATTATTCCTACAAGGTCAAAAGAAATGGAAAAGGTTTGTAACCCATGTACTCTATTACCAGCATGAACATACCCATAAATACATTTGATTCCTTTCTAGAACATCTCAAAGAGTTTGGAAATATATGTACACAGACACCATACAAAGATAAATTTTAAAATGTGAGCTTTTAGCTTTAACTTTCTAAAGCCTACATTAAAGTGTTCAAATACAAATTTTGTTTTGCGTATGTGTTCTTAACAGACACAAATGACAGGATTCTCATAAAATGCTTAAAGGCAGAAAAAGAATATAAAAGATAAATAACTTCAAAGAAAGATATTTCCTTAACATATGTATATTCATCTGAGTATCTAATAAGTAAACAACTGTTCATGCATATCATATCTGCAAGGATTATTCACTAAGAGTTTCCATATACTTAAGCAAGCATACATACATACCAAATAATTGAGCATAATGCATTTTTAATAGACTCTTATTATACCAAAAACATTTTCGTTAAGATGATATAACTGTATTATACTTTCAATAATAATTCAATATTATTAAAAGTTGTAAAGAAAAAATACAGCATAAAGGAAATATTAGTCTTCTGATATAATTTCTTTAGCTACTGATTTTAATTAACATTAAGAACTGCTCATATTTACCAGTGGGAGTTAATGCTTGCTTATTAGCCAATATATATATTGTTCATTTATATTACCTTGGGGCAGGGATTGAGGAAGAGTAAGAGACAGCTAGTAGATTTTTTTTATTCAGAAATTATATACTTTTTAATATATCTGTTTTATTCCTCAGAAAAGAAATGCTTTTGCCTAAAACAAAGTATATCTTTAGTAATCTTTTTATGTTTAATTTTTTGATTATTTTGAAAAATTTGAAATTTGTACATATACTGCAAGTTAAAAATCAAAGTTACAATTAAAACTTAAGTTTAAGTAACCAGAGATATATAATAATATCATACAGAGTGGCAAAAAATTTACAAGCATGTCCTAGGTGGTGAGATATCAAATTTTATTTCAGTAGTCAAACAGAAAAAAATACATCTTTAGAGATTTTATGAGGGGATGCATTTTAATATATAATTAATGATTAATGATTTTCACTACAAAGTTACCATGGTGTTATTAGAAATTCTCAGATTCAAATATGTTATAATACAAACATGGTAACTTCTAGAAATCACCAATCTAAATATATGATGCTTTGTTAAAGGGAAATAATGAGAACGGGGTTGAAATCACTGAATCCTTTCTTCTATGATTTAAAAATTACTATTCCTATATTTGAAAATCCATTAGCTTGAAAGCTTTTTGGCAATTCCTTGCTCCTTCACTATATAAAGGAAAAAGCAAAGGATTTCACTGAACAAGTTTTTACCAGCTATTTTACCTTTTTCATGTTTCCCAGTACCTCACAGCAAAACCCCCGTTTCCCCAGAAATGTTTAGAGTGTAAGCACGGTGAACATACTTCAGACTCAGATCACCATTCCCCTGCACAGAAGAGTCTGGAGAAGGTGTTCTTCCAGTGTAAGGTCCTGAGTATGACCTGAGCAGTAATAAAACAGCAGGCATCATACAGCATCCTTCCTGATAATTACACAGAGGTCACAATCCTTTATTTCTCACCAACTACTGAATTACATTTCTCCAATTTGGGTCCATACAAGAAGCTGATTATGTATAAATTTAAGGGGAAGAAATACAGCAATTTTGACTAAATTATATGTCAGAAAGTCTGTTCAGCTCAAATGCATATGTATACCTATTTGTAGTTGCTCATGGTCACTTGCATTTGGGGTTGTCGTTCAGTCCTATAAACGGTTTTCAATGGATCTCCTGTTGCACCATACACTTGTTGGTTGTATACAGTCAATGGTTCTTCCACATAGCTAAGCGAAAGCACTTCCCAGCATCTGAATTAGCTTGTTTGATCATGAGTTGCTGTGAAATATATAGACTCTTCTGATTTCTGAGGTAAAAGAGCTCTCCTCCACTCATGAGATTATTTTATATCTAGTAGAAGCTTAAGATATATATTCAGTCATTCAGATACGCAAATTTAACCACCAGAGACAAGTAAATTATGCAAGATGATGTACATTCCATTTCAGCTGGAAAAAATGTACAAACACTATACAATTCCAATTCAGAGAGCTACACTTGCACCAAGTTGAGAGGCACTGAAAAAAGTTGCAACGTAATATCTGTGTTTACACAGATTGGATTTAGTTTTGAAGAGCTGTTCTTAAGTACTTGAAGAGGTTTTCCATCTTAATACTTTTATATGCCTTTTTCATTGGTATTTTCATAATTTTCTCCCTAAACTACCAAACATATACTAAATCTCCAGAAAACAGTTACAGCTTTTATAATTTTTTCATATTTTTATGATTTATATACTATTAACAATTTTAGACATTCTAAGTTTAGATCACTCACAAATCTAATTTTTCAATATAAGATCATATTTCCTCATATATGTTATTTACATGAATAGTAACTCTATTTATAAACACTGGCTAGATAAATTACACACAACTCAGGTATATACTTCATTATATAGCTATATATTGCTGAAACTTTTACAGGACACCTTAAAACAGCAAATGACATTATCTAACCACTTGAGGTTATTGCTCTTGTATAATAAACATTTAATTCGCTCCAGAGTTTTTAAAGTATGAATTCCAGAATTTCCAAAGTAAACAAAAGAAATATGATCTCTAACATTTTAGTATCAAATTTTACAAAACAGAATTATTAAAGTAGAAAGAGATTTCTATGGCTTATGATATAGAGTGACACCAGTGATACCACTGAGTGAAATCACTGATGTCATGTTTTTCTGTAAAATTTAACTTCTACACTTTAACAATATTCAGAAATAGTGACCTGTTAAAAAACAGTATACACAAAAATGTCCTGATTTGTAGTAGGTGTTACTAAATATGCTTTCTAAAACCATTATGAATTATGGTAGCAGAATTTAATTACAACCACACAATAATCAAATTCAGCCATGACACATTTCTAAATCTTTGCCAAAAGTAACCTTTTTGTAAATTCACATAGGCTTTGATGAAACAGAAAACTGGTCTGGAGGAGGATATTGTCCTACATCTTGACAGAATCCTACATTTGTCTTACCAGTTCCTCACTAAATGCATAGCTAATAGGTTGGAGGTAATGGGCATTTTCTTGATAATTAGCTGTGTAGGCAAATATGTTTTTTGGCAGATCATATAAATGTTGATTTAAGGACCAGCCAATAAAGAGTGCTAAGCTGTAAAACATTCATTGCTCAATTTCCCACAGATTTGGTTGAAAAATGCTCAAGTTCAGATTTCCATTGTCACCAAGTAACAGACTACTATTTTATGGTACGAAATATATTTCACCTATAATTGATATATAGCTGCTTAATCATTTCCATATTTGACAAATTTGTACTATTCATATTAGTATTACTTATAATAATGAATAGCACCAGGAAAATCATCCTGGACCACTGTTTCATAGTGAAACTAATCAAACTCCTCATTTTCTTAAACACATAAAGCAATGCATGTCCCACTGAAACTAAGGAATCTATAATGTATATAAAGTTAGTAAAGACAAGTGGTAACCTATTGCAAACACCAGTAAATTTTAGTTTACATCTACGTTTAAGAGATCATCTTTAAAGAAAATGGTTTCAAGCTGGAAGCAAGATACACTGTTTTAAAAACAAAAATAGTACAAGATAACTGGCATATACTCTAGCAATTTTCTTTAACGTAGCTTTTTCAAATATAATCTAGTCTTCAGTGCACTCAAACTGCAGAAACATCCAAATTAGGGGGAAAAAAAAGCAATACTTATCCTTGCAAAAAGGGCCTATACTCAAAAGAAACATCTGAATAAAATTGAGACATCTGCAGTAAAGTTTTACCTTCTCCCTAGAATGTTTGAGATGAACTCAGTGTAACACTGTCTTCCAAGAAAAGACAAAGTGATCAATGCAAGAACACATCAGGCTGCCTTGGACAGGCCAATCAATGCAAGAAAAAACCTTGCCCAGGGCCTTATGCAAATAGAAGCACGTCCTGCAACCTAGGGAGGGAACATGCGCAATAGATCAATTGGATATAAAAAACCTTACGGCTATATCGGCTTCAGACAGTAAATATATACTGATGAATATCTCATACTGCCCGCGAATTCTTAAAATGGGTTATTTTTAATAGCTAGTTAAAAACTCTTCCTGGGATCTGGAGTGCAGCAAAATGGAAGAAAATATCACAAGAGAAATACTCAGCATTACTTTTAAGACTGTGCAAATAAAATTCTGATTTCTTAAATTTCTTGGCATAGCTGAATTTTGCTGACATTTCAGAAGGTTAAGTTTTAAGTATGTTTGTATTCGAGAACAGGAAATAATCTAAAAAAAAAAAAAACCCACATACAATCCCAGGTAGTTTTTGAACAAAGAAAAAAATAAAAATGTTATGGGAGAAATCATTCAAAATGTAAAATTATGGTCATCATTCATTAAAAACTCACCCTATCACCAAAGATTATTCTCTATAGTGTTTAATGTATTGATACAGGAACAGTTTTTCTTTTAAAGTTAATGTTTGTATCTCCATGAATCTCTTAAAAACCTGATTAGAATGTATAATAACCTTAAGACCTAGTTAGTACACAAAGTTAGTATACAAAGCTCTCTATCCCTGTCAAAGGGTCTTGAAGGCAAGTCAGGTAATTTATAAGGCTGTATCAAAAATGCTCCATTATCAGGCCTTCAAGGGAATAATAAATAACTGAGTGTAAAATTTTTCTCTAAATATTTTTATTTTTTGTTTTTATTAAAACCAGCTGTTTCTTAGGAATTTCATGATTTAAAGAGCCTTTTATAAGTTAAAAAATCAAAATATTTTAAACAGGAATTATGCCAGCAACTATAATATAGATACTACCAAGCAAATAAGAAAACTGTAAATATCTATTAGTACATTTACTTTAATTGTCTTCTATTCTGGAATTTTAAATTTGAAAATTTAGCTGTAGATGTACTTTCAATCAGGTATGTAGCAAATATTTCTAATATTAAAAATAAATTACATGATTCTTCTTTTAGCTATTGGTGTATGGGATATTCCTTGGCAAAACACTACATAAAATATGAAAATCAGTCCTCTACTGTACAGTTCACTATTTGAAGCAGTTTACTTAGCCATTAAAAGGATGTAGACATCTTAAAACACTGATTTATTTAACTAGTGGAAAGGAATATGAAACTATGCACGATATATCGGTACTATGCTCACTATCTGGGTGACAAAATCATTTGTACACCAAACTCCAATGACATGCAGTTTACCCATGTAACAAACCTGCACATGTACCCCTGAACCTAAAAGATTGAAAAATAAATAAAATATTTTTAAAAAGAAACTATGTAGGATAAACAAAGCTCACTTTTTATTTGTAACATTTCTAGTGCTTTCTACATTGGTAAGATTTTAAGTTTCAGTTTAACCTAGTAAGATTTTTTCCCTAAGGCATAACTAAACACGTCATTCATTTGATCCTCTTAGACTCAAAGCTTTAAAAAAACTTTACTATTTTATGTGGGGAAAGCATAGAGATAAAAAAAATCAAAGTAATATAATACTCTTTTATAGCTTTTCAAGTATTAGGTATCAGATGAAGTGCTTATAATAAATCAGAAAGGCATGAAGTAGCAGGTTAATTATAGGGACTCAAATGTTTCCCTTTTTCCTATTTTAATTTCAAATATAGGAATTTTGAGTTGTCTGGTATTCACAGTGAAATGTAAACTCTAATTTACAGTAAGTAAAATACAAAAGACCAAGCAACTATGGTTTCACGTCTTGTTAAAATATTTAAATCATTATATTTTCTCCAATATATGGGACAAAATAAAAGAAAAACAATTTTAGAATATTATCGTCTAATATTTGATATGTACTGACATTGTGATAAGCATTGAGTAATGAAATTCTGTATTTTTTGAGATCAATTGTACAATGTGTGCTTCTTGCTTTTAAAAGCACATTTTCAATTTAAAAGGTAGGTATCAGGTATGTTGTTTAGCCTGCCAAAGAATTTTGTGCTTTACAAATAAAAAGGCAAAATTTCTTTAAATGAAGAGTTCCTTCACCAATTAAAAATATCCTAAATTTATTACAAATTTTCGTTGTGTAGGTTTCGTTTTTTTTTTTTTTTAAACCCAATTAGAATGAAGTGTGTGTCATGGGTAAATTGACTGGTTCTGAGACTAGGCTGACTTGGACTAATTGTGTCCTTTGTGCAACCTTCCATAGATTCCTCAATCTTTCTATCTGTCAAACAAGGCTCATCATACCTACCTGATAGAGTTAAACTTAGGTTGTACAATGCCTTGCTAAATAATGGTTTGGTTTTGTTTTGCTTTTGGAGACAGGGTCTGGCTCTGTCATCCAGGATAGAGTACAGTGGTCCAACCACGGCTCACTGTATCCTTGAGCTCCTAGGCTCAAGCAATCCTCCCACCTCAGCTTCTTGAGTAGCTGAGACTACAGGCATGCATCATAATATCCAGCTATTTAAAAAAATTTTTTGTAGAGATGGGGTCTTACTATGTTTTCGGGGCTGGCTGGTCTTGAACTCCTGGGCTGAACTGATCCTTTCACCTCAGCCTCCCAAAGAGCTGGGATTAAAGGCATGAGCCACTGTACCTGGCATAAATAATATTTAATGACCAAATGTACAAGAATCCTGCCTAATCTAGTGCTCTTTTTTTTGAGTGACAGTATAGCATGGTGGTTATGAGCATGGACTTTGGAGCCAGAAAGCCTGGGTTTCAATTCTGGCTCCCTCACTAGCTAGTTGTGTGATCTTAGGTAAGTTACTTAATATTTCTGTGGGTTAGTTTCCTCATATGCAACTGAGGTTAGTTTCCTCATATGTAAACTGAGGATAATAATGTAGTTACATCACAGGGTTGTTATAAGGGCTACATGAGTTAATATTTGTAAAGCACTTAAAACAACGCCTGGTACTTGGTAGGTGCTATTCTACATAGCTATTACTTCCAGGTGTAACTTATGGATATGGATAATATGAAGGAGCAAATGCTGATAGCAGAGACTGTTCCAGCGAGATATAAAAGGTCAATTCGATTTAGTTGGTATTAGAAGACCGCTGTCTCTTTGAAGCATGGAATGAGCCACAAAAAAGAGCCAACCAGGGGTTTGGCCAACGAAACTCATCTACTTTCCAGATCCTCATCAAGTGTTTTCAATTTTCCTGCTTAAACTAAATTTCCAGAGCACCACATCAAAACATATTCAAAATTTAAATATAAATGATTTGGAGACTGTCTAATTTTACATTTTCCACACCTTATTTCCCCTTCACTAGTTTGAGTAATGAAAAATCGATTAAAATTGAAAGCCTTAGTTGGAAGGCACAAAAAGAATAAGCAATAAAGAGAGAATAAAAACTAAATCATCATATAACTCAACAGAGAAATGTAGAATTGAACCCTGAAATACGTGAAAAACCGGGACGTTGTCTGAGGGTTAAAAGTCACTACAATTAGTACAATACACTATTTATTTATTTTTCACAGGTACTTGATGAGAAGGAAAACAAAAACCTAACTGTTACAAAGTGAGGTCATACTTTTAACGGGAAAAATATATATTTCATGTTTCTCATCTGTAAAATGGGGATAACAGTATCTCATAAAAGTGTTATGAGGATTAAATGAGATAAAGTATACAAATTGCTTAGGATAGTGCCCGGTGCATTATCATTTAAGCATGAGAGATGCTGATGATCAGCATAAGGATGATGCCACTGCCTTCTGATTCGCAAGAGACTCATAAATCCTAGTTCTATTTTAAAAGTTTATCCTTAAAGACACTACTATGAATTTTTTAGAACTGTTCTTGACCCAGTCATGTCTTAGGCCATCATGGCTGGCTGACAGATTACATGTATTCATACTGATAGCAATGACAGAATTCTATGAGAGTGAGGCAGAACTCTTAACACAGTAATTGGATATGAAGGTATCTGTTCTGAGAATCTACTGTGAGATCTTAGAGTAAACACACATGCTACCAGATGTTAAAGTTTACAATATACTAAAGATATCTAATATATTACTACATATTTAATATGTAGACATAATATAAATATGTTTAATATTTGGATAGATGCCCTACAATGTGTAATAGGAAGCAAACCTGAAAATTTGAGGCTGAGCCTAGAACAGTGGTAGAAACTTTCATTACACTATCAATGATAATTGGAACAGGATTTTTTTCCTGAGATAAACTGAGCAGTAACACAATGGTAATATATAGGCCACTGATCTCACATTATTTTATTTTCACAATTTACAGGGCATCATTTGATGGAGAAAGTCAAGTTTTCTTTGTTGTCGGCAGACAGGCTACTAGAAACCTTTAGAAAATCAACATTTATACTTATAAAGAATCCCAACTGGAAAGGAGTCAAGACTGGGGATTTCTACGGTAGGAGAAAGTTGAGTGTGTTTTATCTTTCTGCCCGGCACAGAAAGATAAATATAAAGTTTTTCTTCTAATGCAGTTGTCTGGTGAATGCAGTATGGAAATTTGGAGAAAATAGAAGTTAGATATTGAGACTTCTGGAAATTTAGGCACAAATAGGCATATTAGAAGTTTAATATGCCTATTTAGGCACAAATATTAGAAGTTTAATATGCCTATTTGTGCCTACATATCCATTTAAATCATCTGACTCGATTATAAAATTGTCACTAAAATATTGAATAGCAATTTTTATTTGTATTCTAATGCTCTTTAACAAGCTTCTTCATGAGAAAAATTCATATAAGGTATGGAAAAACTAAGAAGAAATCTGAATACACTAATCTTAGGAGGTAATTAGATTTAGAAGAGGCCATGAGGATGGAGCCCCCAAGATGGGGTTAGTGTCCTTATAAGAAGAGGAAGAGACTAGAGCTTTCTCTCACTCTTTCTGCCATGTGAGGACACAATGAGAACATGGCTATAGGCAAACCAAGAAGGCCCTCAATGAATCCCAACCATGTTAACACCCTTATTTAGGACTTCTCAGTCTCCAGAACTCAGAGAAATAAATGTTGTTTAAGCCACCTGTCTATGGCATTTTTGTTATATCATTGGTAGACATATGTACCTTAAAGTCAATTCTGATGAGGTCTCAGATGAAAATGAGAAACATGTTACCGGACAATGGAGAAAAGGTAATCCTTGAGATAAAGTGGCAAAGAACTTGGCTGAATTGTGTGTTCTAGTGTTTTCTAGAAGGTAGAACTTGTGACAATAAAATTGAATATTTAGCTGAGGAGATTTCTAAGTAAAGTGTTAGAGGAGCAGCTTGTTCCTCTTGATTGCTTATAGTGAAAATGTAAGAAGAGAGAAATGAGCAAGAAATTATTAAGAAAAAAGGATAGAGAGCTTATAGATTTTGGAAATTCTCAGCCTATCCATATTGAACAAAAGAGAAAGGATGTTCTGAAGAGAGCACTAAGGATGTGGCTGAACAAACATTTGATAAGGAGATTAGCATGGCGTGAACCACAAACTTAATCAAATATCCCAGCAGGAAAACTGTCAGTTTGACCTACAGGGAAAGAAGATGGGACTGTGGGAAGGCAACTGTCTACAAGACAGGAAGTATGCCCTCACTAGAGCCTGGATCTGCTGGTACTTTTATTTTGGGTTTCCTAGCCTCCTGAACTGTGAGAACAAATGTTTGTTGTATAAGCCACATACTCTATAATATTTTTGTTATAGGAGCCCAAAATGACCAAGATAATGAATAAATACTTAAATAAGCAAACTAATTTCTAGAGGGTATGAGCCTTACCTTAACTTAAGCCTAACTTAATCACAGAAAACATAACTGAAATTTGGGGTTCAAATAAGGTTCTGCTAGTTTCTTTGATTAGAGATTTCAGTATCTTCTCAGTTGAATTCCTAATCAATTTCCATTAACAGCGCTTCTAAGTGTTCAAAATTTCAGGGCCACAGACTGTACCTTCTGTGCACTCAGTGAGACTGACTCTTGATGTCCCTGTTTTTCAACTTAAATGATCAATTTTGTTCTCTTGTCCATCTTTTTTCTCTATCTTGTGGCTCAGGCCTTACTTTCTTCATTTGGACCCAACATAGCACCATTTGAGATCTGGTCCTGATAATTCATTTATAAATAAATCTACAATCAACAACTATTTCTTGAGTATATACTCATTGTATGTCCAGCCAGGCTAGGCAGCATGGCATAAACCCATGAAAATAATACATTTGTTATTTATTTTCTACCAGTTAAAAAAAGAATTCTAAGGTTGCATCAAGCAAAAGATAACTATGTATTAGGATAATGAATAGGAGACTGAGGCTGAGAATAAATTACTGAAATGGAAAACTAACCATAGCTCTGGGTTTCTGGGAGATAAAGGCAAAAATGTATTACATAGCTATTATTTTCTAACAAAAAGAACATATCAGTTCATCTATACAAATGGTTTTTCCTAGTACTTACCTCTAAGACAAATTTACTGTATGGATCTTTATACTGTGGACCTTAACATAATGACCTCTTCGCTATTATCCCACTTCACAAATATCCCCTATATTATTCTCTTTGTTTAAAAATGTTTCCTATTTAGACTAAAACCTTCTTGAGGCCAGAGACCATGTGTTCTAATGTTTCCCCAGTACTTGTATGGAGTGGGTATGTTCAACTGAATCAGTAATTATCTTTAATAACAATTTTTGGAAACATTTCTTGCCTTGAGGGCGTAATATTCAGTCTTAACTCCAAGAAAACACTTTTTTGGTTTGCTTGTTTTTGGAGACAGTCTTGCTGTGTTGCCCAGGCTGGAGTGTGGTGGTGTGATCATAGCTCACTGCAGTTTCAAACTCCTGGGTTCATGCAATCCTCCTGCCTCAGCCTCCCGAATAGCTGGGACTACAGGCATGTGCCACCATGCCTGGCTAATTTTTTTAAAAAAATTTTTGTACAAACGAGGTCTTCCTATGTTGCCCTGGGTGGTCTCAAACTCCTGGCCTCAAGCAATCCTCCTGCCTCAGCCTCCCAAAGAATTGGGATTACAGGCATGAGCCTCAAGGTCCAGCCAAGAAACACTTTCAATCCACAAAGTCAAACTTTTGTGGTTCTGGTGGCTTTATTGTAAGCTAAATTCATTCAATAGAAGTGTTAAAAACCTGTAACAGAAAATATGAAGTGAGAACAATTGATATACATGTAGGGGTTAAAAATCTCCAACTCTGAAAGTTAAAATTACAGAGACCTAGAAGAGTATCACTTTGTTACTCTGAGACCAAAGAAGGTGTTAGACCCATAGTGAACATTTGGCCATAAGAGAAGGAAAAATGATAGTCCTTCCTCTCCATTTCCTTTATTGCCATAGAAACCAGATAACCAGGGTACCAAAGACCAGTCCAGAGTATCTTACATGTCCTCAGAATGCAGTATTCTACTTATTCCATTCTAATCTAAGCCACATAATCAGACTTCTGCCTTGATTTGTTCACAATCCTTCTGATTTTTACGCCTATGATAATAGCTTATTTCTTTCCCTGAGAAAGATCCCATTTTGAAACTCCCAGGCAATGAGTGAAGCCTTAAACCTTTTACCTTGTGAATCCTCCCCCTGGTACTGGATCCTGTTTATTTTTTCTCCTTCATTTCCTATAAAGGAGTGAGGTGGGATATGGTGAAGGAAAATAGGCACTCTTAAAACCAATTACTAGATTTTGTTTGCTCGGTCATTACCCATTGCCTTGATTTTCTGTTCCCCACAACCAGATTGTACTTCCTGATTCAAACCTGAGCTTACCATACTCTGATATAACTCCCTGGTGAGAGCTCACCTTCTATTCCCTCTAAAGCCAACCTCTACAGCTGAAGTAGCTCCTCCTGAAACTATCCTGAACTCTAGTAATAAGATCTTTACTCAAATCTGGCTTCCACTCTTGTTCTCTCAAGCCTTCCCTTAACAAAGATCAAGTATGCTTTGAGTCTAAATCCACCTGGCTCCTCTGAGTTAACTTGAATAAATTATTTAATAACGATTGGATCCTAACTTTTAAAAGTTAAATAGCTTTGATTGTGAATTCTTTTTGTCCCCTAGAAGTCCTTTCCAATTTGAGATGTCTGAGGTGCACTGTGCCTGGGAATTTTATTTGGGAGAGGGCTTACAATGAATGATCATTTTAAGGTTACAAGAACACTAAAAACAGCCCTATTATCAACTGAAATGTGTTTTTCTACATTCCTTCTTATAAAAGGCTTACAATAGTCAATCATAGTCTCATATTTGCAGTAAAATACAAAATCTATCATTAAGATCTTTTATAATACCAATGGAAAAAAGAAATATTTCTTATGTAATGATTTATATTTAACAAATTAATATGTCAATTCCTTTGAGTTCCCCTTAACTTGTTATTGTGCTAATTTTGCCAGGCAATCCTTGGTTTCCTAGCAGTCTTTGTGGAATCAGGAGACAGAGTGACCAATCTCTCAGCTACAAACAATGCAGGGAAGGCAGTAGGACCTGAATGCAGCTCATCTACTATGTGGACACTAAGAAAAACCTGTTCCAAAGGTAATTCCAATGGAGTAATATGGGTCCTTTATTCTACAAAAAGATCCTTATTAAAGATTAGTGAAATTTTTCTCCACTTCAGCAGCCTTCCAAACAATAGAATCTTGGTGTGCATGAAGGATATAAAAGGATATAAACATTAAGGAGCACACTAGGTTCTTAAGGGAAATAACCTATCAGGAATGAAAACAATCACAACTAATATCATACTTAATGATGAAATACCGAACAATTTCCTCTTAAGATCAGGAACAAGACAAGGATGTCCATGCTAGCCACCTTTATTCAACCTTGTACTAGAGGTTCTAGCCAGGGGAATTTGGCAAAAAAACAAAAATATATAAATTAATTAGATAAACATGCATCCAGATTGAAAAGGAAGAAGTAAAACTATCTGTATTCACGAATGATATGATCTTGAATATGAAAACTCCTAAGGAATACACACAAACACACACACACACACACACACACACTGATTAGAACTAAAAATAGTGAATTCAGCAAGGTTGCAAAATACAAGACTAACATATAAAAATAAATCATGTCTCTATCTACTAGTACTGAATATGAAAATAAAATAAACAATTTCAGTTAGAATAGCTTCAAAAATAATCAAATACTTAGAAATAAATTTAAGAGGAGAAGCTTAAGACTTGTACACTGAAAACAACAAAGCATTTTTGAAAGAAGACCTAAATAAACGGAAAGAAAGCCCATTGTCACGGATTAGAAGACTTAAGATTGTCAAGATGGCAACACTCCCCAAATTAACCTATTTAATCAATCCCAATACAAATCTCTGCTTTTTTATTTTTGCAGAAATTAACAAATCAGTCCTAAAATTCATATGGAAAAGCAAGACCTAGAACAGCCAAAATCATCTTGAAACAGAATGAACAAAGTTGGAGGATCTACTCCCTGATTTCCAAACTTACCACAAAGCTACAGTAATCAAGTCAGTGTGGTACTGGTATGAAGACAGGCATATATATGGAATAAAATACAGTCCAGAAGCAAACCCTTACATTTATAGTCTATGGATTTTGACAAGGGTGCTAAGACAAATCAGAGAAGAAAGAAGAGTATTTTTCAATAAGTGGTGCTGGGATTAACTAAATATCCATATTCAAAAGAATTAAATTGGACCCTTACCTCACACAATATACAAAAACTAGCTTAAATGACAAAAACAAAAACTAGATAAATTGGACTTCATCAAAATTAAAACTTCTGTACTTTGGAGGAAATCATCAAGAAAGTGACTTAGTCATCCAGAGAATGGGAGAAAATTTTCACAATCATTTATCAATAAGAGATTTGTACCAATATATAAAGACCTATGAAAAATCAAAAATAAAAATGATAACCCAATTAAAATTGAGCAAAGGATTTGAGTAGACATTTCTCCAAAAAATACAAATGGCCAACAGCACATAAAAAGAGGCTCAACATCATTATTCATCAGAGAAATGAAAAAGAAAAAAAAAAAACTACAGTGAGATGCCACTTCACACCCACTAGGATAGCTAATATAAAAAAAGACAGATAATAATAAGTGCTGATGAGGATGTGCAGAAAGTGGAACCCTCATACACTGCTGGCAGGATTGTAAGTATGGGGAGAAATGGGTAATGGGTATGGAATTTCTTTTGGGGTGATAAAAATGTTGTAAAATTAGATAGTAATGATAGTTGTACAAGTCTGCAAATATGCAAAAAGACTTTGAACTGTATATTTTATTTAAAGGATGAATTTTATGGCATGTAAGTCATATTTCAATAAATCTTAATAAATCTCCATTATATCTTGATAAAAGTATGTAAAATTTATCTCAGAAATAAAAAAGTTTAAAAAATGCAAACAAGCGAACGTAAGCTAATTATTAAATAAAAGGTGAAGCTGAACCGATTGGGGATGAAATGGAAAGTTTTCTAGACTTATTTCATAGACTGCCATATAACATTGTAAGGATATTATTATGATGATAATTTAGTTATATTATAATTTAGTTTAGTCATTTTCTTATTTTATTGAAAAGACTATACCTACAAGGGTGTGTCATACAGAAGCAATCTTTTCAGTCAGACTGAGAGCTGGGCATGCCAGCAACAAGGAGCCTATAAAAGTCTTACACCTGAACGAAAAAAGTAATACTGTCTAATGTGGAGTAACTGATTAGGTAGAATTCCCAAATCAGTCAATATTTAAATGCAGAGTAGGGAGAATTAACAAATTTAGTTAGTAAAAGAGTTAAGGTTTAAACTTGGCCGGGCGCGGTGGCTCACGCCTGTAATCCCAGCACTTTGGGAGGCCGAGACGGGCGGATCACGAGGTCAGGAGATCGAGACCATCCTGGCTAACACGGTGAAACCCCGTCTCTACTAAAAATACAAAAATTAGCCGGGCATGGTGGCGCGTGCCTGTAGTCCCAGCTACACAGGAGGCTGAGGCAGGAGAATGGCGTGAACCCGGGAGGCGGAGCTTGCAGTGAGTCGAGATCGCGCCACTGCACTCCAGCCTGGGCGACAGAGCGAAACTCCGTCTCAAAAAAAAAAAAAAAAAAAAGGTTTAAACTCTATATGTTAGTCAACTAACTGTGCAGATATTTAAGACTACTCATGTTGTTGTAATATACATTATTTTCAAACTTGGGATAAGAGCAGTATTAGACTCTTTATCCTCAAGATATTTCTAGATCATTTGGGCAAAATGAGATTGGACATAAAAGATAACTTTAACAAAACTAATTAGTATGTATCTTGAAGTTATATTACAAATGGCAATTTATTTTTACTGAATTACCTAGATTTTTAAAGTAAGTTTGTAAGAGTATTTTTGGCCTGAGTTATCTGGATACCATTATGATTCAGTTTTTCTTGCTTACTTCCCTTATTTTAACTTCCCTCAATTTTTGACTCCCAGCAGCCCAACTTTTAGCTGTTCTCATTGATCACATTATGCAGATATCTTACCAATATCCAATTTACTTTGTTCCTCATGGACAAAATATAAATGACACTTCTTTAAGGTCACAGTTAGCTGATGTAAAAGACTAATTATTTTAGTTCCATTTTCTCTTCAGTGTAAATCCAAATCATGCTCCAGGCAATTTAAAAAAATCTGCTGAGAGTAGAGAGAGGTTGAGTGTCCTCATGCAGCTATGTCCAAAACCAGTCCTCTATCAGCTGCTGAAGGGCAGCTTAGGCTGCCTGGAGGCCAGGGAGCCCAGCATGGAACAATGGCAGGAAAATAGAGTTCCCTTCATTCCTTAATTCACATGCAAGTGAGGTGCCAATCAAGTGCTGACAAGCATGGAGAAACCAAAATCAAAAGTGGGTAGCGATACACTTTCAAAAGGAGCTGTTTTCACACATTTCTAAGTGATTTTTTAATGATGGTTGGGAATATACTAATAATAACATGGAAAAGGAAATAAAAGTAATAAGAAAAACACAAAATTTGTATCAGTTGAGATGATTCAATAAACTAATGAAATATATTTACTAAAATTACTTAACATGTTTTATAAAAACATATGAACACTGTTGTTTTGGCTAAGCAAAGAAATTTCCATTCAAATTGATATATTGAGCACTGCAAACGGGGAAGGTAAGGTGTGCTGAGATCAATAACTGGGCATTGATAAACCCTGTTAATTTCCAAATTAAATAAAAAATTAAAGGTTACTTGATTTGGCCAAACTGATCGCCTGGAAAGATAAGAGCAAAACACTCTGAAATGGCCAACAATAAAAGTGATGAAATCACTTCATCATAGTAGCTGGAGAAAAAGATGATGAAGAAGGTCAAAAACTGCATTGTTTTAAAATGACAGTTAATTTTCAAAAAATGAGCCTGAATTTTTTAAAACTAGTATAAGGCAAAAGTAAGTTGCATTATTTGTAGATTTCTTTCCAGATGAATTTGGTAAATGCATTCTAATTATGGTTAATAATTCTATTATGTGTAAAGTAAAATTTGTAAGAAATTTCAGGCTTTGTAAATGATGGTTTAATAACTGTAACTTTACATATTGGCATTATTTTAAGTATACAGAAAAGATAACAGAGGCAGATATATTACTTTTAAAAGTTCATTATCAATTCATGAGATGAAACAGTTCTTTCCTTTTGTCTTTAATGACTAAATCCTACAATCAATAGGGTTGTCTTATCAAAATTTATTTTTACTAGGAACACAGAGAGTTCAGAGAATTGGAAATTTGAGTTGTTACCATATGGTGAGAGTAAAAGCAGTTAATAGCATATTTTTAATATCATGTTTCTTCTTATTATAGTAAAATGTATACTGTTTTTTAATGAGGTTAGATCTAATCAAGTTCTAAGATTTACTACCATAAAATGAATATTGGTTTTGAAAAAAATCTCTGATTATAAGATATTCTTCAGGATAAATACAACATTTTAAGATAGGATATAATAGTAAATTATGTTCTCACTTTTCGAAAACAACAATTAGCAAAATATTAAAGCATAAGTAATTGCATTTACTGGTGAAACTGTACTTGCTACAATTTACATTTAAAACAATTTTTTTTTGAAATTCATGACATAACGAAGAATGTGAACTTGTAGGACAGTGGTAGAAAAACGATTTCCATGCATTCAAACACGACGCTACAAACTAAGACTGTTCCCTAAGAAATGTGTGTGTTTGTGTGTGTATGTGTGTGTGTCATCTTTAATCAAAAGTAAAATTTTATGGCAATTTAAATGACTGAAATCCAAAGGATTTACTGTCTGACATGTGTAATGCACTACTGGGACAAAAAACCAAATCATAATTTAAGATTTACATATTAATCTTGACAATTTACTTGCTTGTAAAGTTAATATTAAAATTTTGAATGAAAGTAAAACAATTCATACAATACAGTTAATGTTGAAAAGTCCTGAAAAATTGCCTATTTGTCAATATTTTAACACCATGAGTTTTTAAATTTGCTTTTGCCTAAAACTGAATAACATTTTTTTTCAGTTTTAGGCAAAAGCAAAGGATCTAAAAACATTTCAATGTTTATTATTTCTTTAACAATACTATATTTTAGAAAGCCTTTCAAACAAAAACACAGTGGACCTAAACATATTAATCAAATTTGTCAAAAAATAATGTAAAATTCATCAGGGTACAATGTTATTTGCTTAAAGGAATCCATTGTATGAGGTCAGGAACCAGTCTTTATTCATTTGCCACCATCCGTATGCTTCCATTACATACCCCCAAATCAAAGTTATTTCACAAAAAGTAGCAAAAAAAAAAAACGAAGATGAGATAATTGCCATTAATACTTTAGAACCTAAACAACGTATATTACATTAAATAGACTTCTCAGCCCTGGCGTTGCCTGACAGATATGTGATGTGCCAGTGGTTATATTATATTCCTCCTCCCATGCATGTGCCTCCTGCAGAGATAGCAGACTACAGAAGCTGACCCTTACTGAGACCATCTTGTCTCTCTGACAAAGCTCCTTTTTAACTTCTTACTTACTGGTTACTTCCTGTGATGGAGAAAAACTTTAGCTCAGCTTGTGATAATTTCACAGGCCCTGAGGACCCTGACCCTAATAGCCTCAAGGTCAGAAGTCAAGTCTTGTTCTGAAACATCTGTGTGCTTTATATTAAAGTGGAACAAAAGTGGAGAAATATCCACCAGTGTGTGACAAGCAGGACGGGCAAAATAGGACTGACACACTGGTCATCTGTTAACTCTGGCATCTTCAGTTCATTGTAAAAACTGTCCAAAAGGAATGTAAATTTTAAGTTTGGTGTGTAAAGGTTTTCGTAAACTGTCTTAAAGTTAAAAAATGGGAATTTATGTTTTATAGAACTCTAAAATTTGATTAGCCTTGCAGACTTTCAGACATATTTTAAGTCACTCTACAAGTCAAGAAATTTCATGCTTTAAGTAATTTAACAGCTTACAAAGAAAAAATAAGCTATATATAATCTATATCTATGGAGATATAGAGATATATATATCTATATAGCTATATATTTATATCTGTAGGGATTGAAAGGAATTATTTGAAAAACAACATTCATATTTTAAAAAGTACATCATAGTAGTGTGCTAAAGAGCTATCTTAAGATATCTATTATATATATCAAAATAAATAAATTAATTCAGCATAGTTAAAATTAGTTGAAAATAATCCCTAAAAACTGAAATAAATTTAGAAAATAAATGATTTAACTTAACGATTTATTGATCTTAAGACAGCAGAAGCACTTGTAGAGTTAAGTCAGCTAAAATATTCTCAGATGTCACTACCAGTTTTAAAACTAAATCAAGTGGGTAAGCAATAAGACATAGGGTGGTTGAAAAGGTCACGGAAATATATTCAATTTCCATGTCAGAGAAAAACATGCCAAAGTCTAGAAACATAAAAATTAGGCAATCAATATTGTGTCTCTGGTTCAATGTCCACTTAGATCTATTTGGATTTAAAATGATCAACTGCACTTTTATCAAATTAACTATTTTATGGTAGGATTGGTAACTTCCTGTAACATAAGAGATTATGGACAGATCCCATGAATTCTTCACTAATCCATTATTAGAATTGATTATATCACATTAACCATGCTGGCCCATGATTGTGATATTGTAATATTGCATCTAAAACAGACAGAATTCAGAAATTTGGTAATTTTTTTCTATCATGTACACATAATCTTAACTCCAAGAATCAAATTATTTTTAAATATGAAGATTTCTATGATCAAGCAATGCATTCTAGTTAGAAGCAGATTAATGGAAGCTTTCTTGCAGTTTTAATACTAATTATATAAAATTCTGATCAAGTATCAAGTACAAGTCAGTTAAAGACTATCAAAATATTCTCAAGTATTCAAAATGTCTCTTGACATTTTAAACACTTTATAGATAACATAAGACTCAATGGTGTATACATAAAGCAGAAACAATAAATATCATGAAATGTATGGAAACTGGCACTATAATGTAGAAATTAAAAACTAATATGTAAATAAGGAACAGGCAAAAAGCTTTCTGGTTAGCACTAAAAAGCTCTGTCACCATAAAATAAAGTAGTAGGCTGAGGCAGGCGGATGACGAGGTCAGGAGATTGAGAACATCCTGGCCAACATGGTGAAACCCCGTCTCTACTAAAAATATAAAAATTAGCTGAGCATGGTGGTGCATGCCTGTAATCCCAGCTACTTGGGAGGCTGAGGCAGGAGAATAGCCTGAACCAGGGAGTCAGAGGTTGCAGCGAGCTGAGATGGTGCCACTGCCCTCTAGCCTGGCGACAGAGACTCTGTCTCAAAAAATAATAATAATATTAATAAAATAAATAAGTAAATTAATAAACTATTTTCAAACATCATAAAATTATTTACTCAAAATATGTTATTTTCCTTCTTTATAACATAACTTAAAGAGTATTGATACCAACAGAAAGAAAGGAGAGGGGATAAACCTACAAGGAGACTGGAACTACAGAGAGTAAAATAAGCACTTACCAGTTCAACAAAAGCAAGTCCTCCATAGCTGTGAGCAACGAAAAACACATTCTCAGCAGCAGCCTGAGCTATGAAATGATCCCAAACATAGATTGCATGTTCTTCAGGAGAACCATTTTCCTATAAGGGAAACAAATGTCATATATTACATATTATACCTAATTATTATCATAGCAAACAACAATTAAATTATATGCTTGCATACACAGCATATGAAATACAATGGTTATAGCTCATTCAAAATAAAAATAATATAAAAGAACTACATTGAAAATTCAAATTAGAGAATATGAGAGGACTTCAAAAAGTTTGTAAAAAAATAGAATTAAAAGATAAAAATTAAAAAAAACACTTTATTTCTGAACATTTCATGAAGGTCAAGAAACTTTTGTAAGTGGTGATACATGCCTTTTAGTACACTCCTAAAGAACTCCGGGTCCTGGTAATTTAACCATGTCAATGCAGTCTTTTTTACATTATTAACTGAAGAAAAGTGATGCCCTTAAACATTTTTTAAGATTAGAAAACTACAAGTCAGAAGGAGCCAAATCAGGACTGCAACGTGGATGCCTAATGATTTCCCAGAGAAACTCCTGCAAAATTACCCTTGTTTGATGAGAGGAATGAGCAGGATATTCTTGTGGTTGAGAACTCTCTGATGAAGCTTTCCCAGGCATTTTTCTGCTAAAGCTTTTGCTAAATTTCTCAAAACACTTTCATAATAAACAGATGCTATTGTTCTTTGGCCCTCTAGAAAGTCAGTAAGCAAAATGCCTTGGGCATCCCCCCAAACTGTTGCCAGAACCTTTGATCTTGACCAGTCAGATTTTGTTTTGACTGGACCACTTCCATCTCTTGGTAGCCATTGCTTTGATTGTGCTTTGTCTTCAGGATTGTACTGGTAAAGCCATGTTTCATCTCCCGTTGTAATTCTTCAAAGAAATGTTTACTTTGATCCAAATTGTTAAAAATGTCCATTGAAATATGTGTTCTTGTCTGCAGCTGATCTGGGTGCAACAGTTTTGGTACACATTGAGTGCAAAGTTTTTTCACCTTAAATTTTTCAGTCAGAATTGTGTAGGTGGAATCAATTGAGATGTCTATATGTCAGCTATTGTTTCTGTTGTTCATCACTTATCTCATCAATTAGGGCACAAACAAGATAATTTTTTTTCTCCTAAATTGATGCAGATGGTCAGCTGCTATGAGCTTCATCTTCAACAATGTTCTGTCCGTTCTTCAAATGAGTTAGCCATTTGTAAACTACTGATTTGTTTGGGAGACTGTCCCCATAAACTTTTTGTAAAGCATCAATGATTTTACCATTCTTCCACCCAAGCTTCACTATAAATTTGATGCTTGTTCTTGCTTCAATTTTAGCAGAATTCATGTTGCTCTGACAGGTGCTCTTTTCAAACTGATGTCCTGTATTTCTTAGTGCCTTGAATGAGATCCTCTCCAGGCATGTCATAGCAAGTTAGTAAGAGTTTATTTTGGTGCAATAAAAATGAAATCCATGCATGGATTTTTCATAATATGCATTTTCCATGAACTTTTTGAAGGCTCTTCAAAAATCAGTGAGCACATTAGAATTATATAGCAGAAAGTTATACTGATCTTTTGATAAAACAATGTAATACTAAAAAATGTATTTACATTCCCATAGTTAGATGTGAAAATATTTAATATATATCTAAATTATTTTATTTATAAGATTTTAAGTATCTCTGTAAGCTAAAAATAAGGAAAAATGAATAATAAATATTTTCTGTTGAAATTATCAAAATATATATATACATTTTTTCTAAAAGCATTTTCTATACAGATTTTTGGAATTGGGAAAAAAACCTAAATATATAAACCTAGGCCTTTTACATTTTTCCTAACTTGCTAAACCCAAATAAATGTATGTCACTTAAGTTGCAAAAGTTATGTAATAACTTCATTTTGCTGTTTATTTCTATGGCTGACATATTGTGGTTAAAGCCAAAACCTGGATAATGTGAAAAACAAAAACAAACTAAAATGTGAAATAATACTGATCAAAAAGCAAACTGTGAAGAACTGAAACCTCAAGAAAATGCTTTGTACGAATATTTCTTAGAAGCTTGAACACTAAAAGACTCATTTCCTAAGAATGTCATGGATATTAGACAATGCACACAATCACATTTTCCTTTTTAGAAATTTTATAATAAATTATTAAGGTCCCCACATGCATGGCATCACTTGCCATCTAGAAGTTAGTTCTCTCTATGTCTATCTGTCCTAAATTTCTCTCCAGAGCCACAAAGCCAACTATTTAATGGTCATTTCCTTCTGTATGTACCACAGACATGTCAAACTCAACCAATCCAACACTGTAGTAAGAACCTCTACAAATCTGTCTAAGCTCTCCATATCCAGCTGAAATCTGAGAGTCAACTTTTTTCCTTTTAAAATGTTTTTTTAATTTTTTTTATTATACTTTAAGTTTTAGGGTACATGTGCACAATGTGCAGGTTTGTTACATATGAATACATGTGCCATGTTGGTGTGCTGCACTCATTAACTCGTCATTTAACATTAGGTATATCTCCTAATGCTATCCCTCCCCCCTCCCCCCACCCCACAACAGGCCCCACAGTGTGAAGTTCCCCTCCCTGTGTCCATGTGTTCTCATTGTTCAATTCCCAACTATGAGTGAGAACATGCGGTGTTTGGTTTTTTGTCCTTGTGATAGTTTGCTAAGAATGATGATTTCTAGCTTCATCCATGTCCCTACAAAGGACATGAACTCATCATTTTTTATGGCTGCATAGTATTCCATGGTGTATATGTGCCACGTTTTTTTAATCCGGTCTATCGTTGTTGGACATTTGGGTTGGTTCCAAGTCTTTGCTATTGTGAATAGTGCCGCAATAAACATACAAGTGCATGTGTCTTTATAGCAGCATGATTTATAATCCTTTGGGTATATCCCCAGTAATGGGATGGCTGGGTCAAATGGTATTTCTAGTTCTAGATCCCTGAGGGATCACCACACTGACTTCCACAATGGTTGAACTAGTTTACAGTCCCACCAACAGTGTAAAAGTGTTCCTATTTCTCCACATCCTCTCCAGCACCTGTTGTTTCCTGACTTTTTAATGATCACCATTTTAACTGGTGTAAGATGGTATCTCATTGAGGTTTTGATCTGCGTTTCTCTGATGGCCAGTGATGATGAGCATTTTTTCATGTGTCTTTTGGCTGCATAAATGTCTTCTTTTGAGAAGTGTCTGTTCATATCCTTCGCCCACTTTTTGATGGGGTTGTTTGTTTTTTTCTTGTAAATTTGTTGGAGTTCATTGTAGATTCTGGATATTAGCCCTTTGTCAGATGAGTAGATTGCAAAACTTTTCCTCCATTCTGTAGGTTGTCTGTTCACTCTGATGGTAGTTTCTTTTGCTGTGCAGAAGCTCTTTAGTTTCATTAGATCCCATTTGTCAATTTTGGCTTTTGTTGCCATTGCTTTTGGTGTTTTAGACATGAAGTCCTTGCCCATGCCTATGTCCTGAATGGTAATGCCTAGGTTTTCTTCTAGGGTTTTTATGGTTTTAGGTCTAACGTTTAAGTCTTTAATCCATCTTGAATTAATTTTTGTATAAGGTGTAAGGAAGGGATCCAGTTTCAGCTTTCTACATATGGCTAGCCAGTTTTCCCAGCACCATTTATTAAATAGGGAATCCTTTCCCCATTGCTTGTTTTTCTCAGGTTTGTCAAAGATCAGATAGTCGTAGGCATGCGGCGTTATTTCTGAGGGCTCTGTTCTGTTCCATTGATCTCTGTTTTGGTACCAGTACCATGCTGTTTCGGTTACTGTAGCCTTGTAGTATAGTTTGAAGTCAGGTAGTGTGATGCCTCCAGCTTTGTTCTTTTGGCATAGGATTGACTTGGCGATGTGGGCTCTTTTTTGGTTCCATATGAACTTTAAAGTAGTTTTTTTCCAATTCTGTGAAGAAAGTCATTGGTAGCTTGATGGGGATGGCATTGAATCTATAAATTACCTTGGGCAGTATGGCCACTTTCATGATACTGATTCTTCCTACCCATGAGCATGGAATGTTCTTCCATTTGTTTGTATCCTCTTTCATTTCATTGAGCAGTGGTTTGCAGTTCTCCTTGAAGAGGTCCTTCACATCCCTTGTAAGTTGGATTGCTAGGTATTTTATTCTCTTTGAAGCAATTGTGAATGGGAGTTCACTCATGATTTGGCTCTCTGTTTGTCTGTTATTGGTGTAGAAGAATGCTTGTGATTTTCATCTGTTATTTCTCTTTCTCCCAAATTCCTCACATAATCAGTCATTAAAATTCTATTGATCCTGCCACCGTCTCTCAAATCCATCTACTTTTCTTTCATTTAATCTGGTTTAGCTCAAGCCACCATCATTTCACAAGTGGATGACCACAACAATCTCTAGCCTAGCCTCAACAATCTCTAGCCTAGCCTAGTAGTGACCTGTAGGATTGACCATTTACATGTTTTAATTCTGCAGTGAGAATAACCTGTCAAGAATGCAAATATGATCATGTTGCCAAGTTACTCACTCCCTGCTTAGAATCCTCCTATTTTCTCACTGTTCCCAGAATTAAGTTCAAACTCCTATATCTATTTTTTTATTTTTTGAGACAGAGTCCTGCTCTGTTGCCTGCATAGGAGTGTGGTGGCGCAATCTTGGCTCACTGCAACCTCTGCTTCCCAGGTTCAAGCGATTTTCCTGCCTCAGCCTCCCAAGTAGCTGGGGTTACAGGTGCATGCCACCACACCTGGCTAATTTTTGTATTTTCAGTAGAGATGGGGTTTCGCCATGTTGGCTTGGCTGGTCTTCAACTCCTGACCTTAGGTGATTTGCCCACCCCGGCCTCCCAAAGTGCTGGGATTACAGGCATGAGCCACTGCGCCTGGCCCTCAAACTCCTTAATATGACATTCAAGGCCGTTTGTAAAGTTCAGACTCCTCAGTGTGACATTCAAGGCCCTTTATGATCTAGCACTCTGTATTGAACTATATCTTTCACCATTGCCCTACAAAATACCTTGACCCCAAACACATCCCTTTTCCCCCTGAGAAGACACACAGAACAGTCTCTGTGTTCCAGTTGTAGGGAGCAACTCGAAGTAACCTAATTGGGCCCTATTTTTCTTGCCTATGGGTTACTGCATTTGTCCAGATAGTGATCTTTGTGCTCTGCCTTCACTTCCCATACCACCTTCTACTGCATACTCCCTACTTGTCTTCAGTACTGAAATGAGATATCATTTCCTCTGGAAAGTCAACCCTATTTTTCCCAAGGATTAGGTAATGTCTTCTAACATCATCTTGTGCATGCTTCCTATTATTGCACTGAGGAGCTGTATTGTAATTACTAGTTAGATTATCAAATTCTTGAGGCCAAGAACTATGTCTTCTTGTTCATTAAATCTTAGTGTAATAAATGAATAACAAAACCACAACGTTTATCTTCAGGCTGATTACCTACAACCTTGTAGTCATATATTAAAATACAAACATACTTCCAAAGTCATTTCTTAGTAACATAAATATGAAATTACCCACACAGAAGAATGAATAAAACAGTTGGAAGGAAAACCTTATAGGGATTTTAGGCTTTGATAATTTATCTTTCATTAGTTTAAAAAGTAAGAAAATGGTTAACATAAAAATGAGGATAGTGGTTAACTTTAAGGAAGGGAATGAAGTTGTGACTAAGAAATTGACTTTTAGTGGCTGCCAGCATTCCACTTCTTGTCTGCTTTGATAGTTACACAAGTGTGTTCTTTATAGTTATTATTTAAACTAACCATACATATTTAGCACTTTTCTGTAGACATATCTGGAGTGACTATACAATTTGTTGTTCAAACTTTTGAGAGTGAAGAAAGATATTATCAGTAATTGTAGTGGAAAACAGGTCTAAATTGGAACTATACAGAAAAATACTGAACACCTCATCACCCTAGTTATAGCTCACAATGCAAGAAATATGAAAACAAAATAGGAAAGTTACCAGAGTTTCCACCTATTGATGGTTGGCATAACTAACCATCTTAAATACCTGAGATGGTCCTAAATACTCCATATATGGACAGGATTACATATATGTGTGTATATATATTTATATGTATATATATGTGTGTGTGTGTATATATATATATATATATATATATATATATATATATATATCCACACACAATTAGATAACTCTGTCCCCATTAAGCTCTGCGCTGGAAGTGTAGATGGAAGAATGATAAGTATGCCATGATCCTGGCCTTTAATAAGTTAGAGGTATTAACACATAAAGACTTCAGAAGCAGTAGTGTGTGAGGAGTATTACCTCCTCTGATCCTGTTGGACTGTCCTGAAACCAAGGTTGACGGGCCATTATAAATCCATACTATCTGACCTCAGTGAGGTTCTCCCTGCTGTCTTCTCAGTCACTAATTCTTCCTGTATACTGTTGGGATCCTATTTGTCTCATTCTTTCCAGTCCCACCACTGTTTAGGTTTTCTTACAACAGACTTTAGTCTCAATTTTTCTAGTCCAGCAGTCCCCAACCTTTTTGACATCAGGGACCAGTTTTGTGGAAGACAGTTTTCCACAGACAGAGTGGAGAGGATGATTTTGGGATGATTCAGGTGCATTACGTTTATTGTGCACTTTATTTCTATTGTAATATATAATGACATAATTATACAACTAACCATAATTTAGAATCAGTGGGAGCTCTGAGCTTGTTTTCCTGCAACTAGGTGGTCCTCTCTGGGGGTGATGAGAGACAGTGACAGATCGTCAGGCATTAGATTCTCATAAGGAGCGCACAACCTAGATCCCTCACATGCGCAGTTCACAATAGGGTTCATGCTTTTATAAGAATCTAATACTGCAGCTGATCTGATAGGAGGTGGAGCTCAGGTGGTAATGCGAGCAATGGGGAGCAGCTGTAAATACAGATGAAGCTTTGGCTTGCTTGCCTGCTGCTCACCTCCTGTTCAGCCCAGTTCCTAACAGGCCATGGACTGGTACCCATCTGTGACCCGGGGTTTGGGGAACCTTGTTCTAGTCTTTCCCTTTACTCTGTTGCCAGATCAATCTTTTTGAAGCCTTGCTCTGATCAAGCCACTCCGCTGCTAAAAAAAAAAAAAAAAAGTCATTTACTGAAATGATTTTGCCTACAAAGTAACTGGAACTCTTTAGCCAACATCTTCTCTAAAACTATCTTTCTAGCTTTCCCTCTCACTATCTATTTCCAGGGATCTTATGCTCCAGGCAAATCTGGATTACACATTAATAGTCTGAAAGCCCTAGACAAAACTCAGTCATGCAACTCAGTCTGGGATGAGACAGGCAATGCAGCCCAGATTACACAAAGCCTAAAAGCAAGGAGTAGTTCAGTAATCCACATATGTGAGATGATAAAGACCATAATACTCCTCAGGGTGGTAGCAGAGTGAATGGAAAGAAAGGGATAGAATGAATCATCATAAAAGAAAAATGAGCAAAATTTTGTGAGTCACAGGATTTGAGGGAAAGTGCCGGCCAGGCCCATCCATGACTAAAGGGAGCTAAGAACCAACAGTTGTTTCTACTGCTTACAGAGAATAGTATTACAGCTTAGTCTTTTCCTCCACAGTCGATGGAGATAATATCTGTTAATGGCCTGTCAGCAGTAGGAAAGAGAAACTTCATGTTTCCATGGGCTTCAAGTACTTAAATGTCTTCAGCTTGACTAAGGTCAAGCTGAAATTACAGATTTTAGCTTTAGACTTTTAAACCAAATATTCTAAAAAGTGAGACCCAACTGAAAAATGTCTACAATATCCACAAGGGGGTCTTTTATAGGCTCAACTAAACCATCAAACTCATGAGACTATTCTGGACCACACTTGATATCCATTGACTAAAAAAGATATAGAAAAGGAATCAACCTTGCTAGCAGGGCAGCACCAGACACTACTTTTTAGTGGGAGCCTTGCAGCAGTCCTTGTGGCAACCCCCAGAACCTCCGAGGATTTACTATCTTTGGAATATGGCGTGTTAACTTAGGAGTGAGGGAATCAGGCTCACCTTGAGCAGATGCAGGAGTTATCCTGGCTTAAAAATCTTATACCCCACAGAAGCCAATATCTTTGCAATAACTCCATAGGTATGGCTTTCAGGATTCCATCCCATAAGAGACATGCTCAATTCTAAGAGTCACTACTCTTAGGGAAGATCAAAGCTATGGTATACCATGTTCTGATTACTACTAATCCTGATGGAGTTTACTAATTAGGGGTCATTTTCTACCACAGGCAATATTGTCTAGTGACCATCCACTTAAGAGTGAATGCTATGATGTGCTGCCCAGAATCCCTTCAGTTATAAGTCATTCATTTCCTTAGCTGTGGGAGTGCTGGCCTTAGCTGAGGCACTCTCTAGAAATTGCCCTTAGCCAAAAAGCAACCTTGCTTAAGGTTACAGTCCTACCCCTGGTCGCTTGCCTATGGCAGAACATCTTTGAAAAGTCATCTCAGATCCAGAGACTACCATGGGGTTAGCTGAGGGCTTTGTTGTGACTACACTGCAGTTCAACTCCTGTCCAATTCTACTTTTTTTTACTCCCCTACAAGTGCTGATCCCAAGAGGACTCCTCAACAATCTTCCTGCATGTAAACTTCCATTTCGAAATTTATTATCTGGGAAACTCAACCTAACACACCACTATATCAGGCTTCCAGGGGGAAGAGCCAGAAAGTCAACTGAAGGTCAGAATCTCATGCAGAAATTGAACTAGTTATTTACTACAATGTCTTACAAGAAATATATATAAAGTATTTATAACTATTTACATGTATTATCATGCCTATGTTTAAAACAACTGCAAAATATTGGTGGCTCAGGATTACCTGCCAGCTCTACCATCAGCCATGGTAGCTTAATTTGAATCCTATACCATTTCATTGGTTCTTCTCTACTCTATTTGTTTAATGTCAAGTCGCTTTTCCTTCCTTCTAGAATATAACCAACTTGAAAGTAGATTATCTTTTTAATTCAAACTATAAATACAAGGCATGCTACAGGCATTCAACAATAATTAACAATGCTAGTGTTATTGGCAATGATACTGTGGACAAAATATTTTGGAGTACATTTCAAAAATGAAAACAAATGAGTATTTAAACTTCATTTCAGGAATCCAGCTTCTAATAATCTGGAATGTGGCAAAAGACTGGTGGTCAAAGATATTCATCACTGTCTCATTTATAAAAGCAAAACTTTGGATAAAGCGTAAGTATCCAATAATGAAAATATAAATAATAGTTTATCTGTTGAATGAAATATTATGTAGCTATTCTATGAGTTTATAATACATGCAGCTTATCTGATATGTAGTGTAATTTTTATCATATAAAAAAAGCCTGAAAAAGACTTTTCAAAAGAATAAATCAAATAAAACACTAAAAGCAGTTGAGCTGTCTATTGATGGTTGGAATATGAGTAGTTTTCTATTTTTAGTTTCTTCACACTTTTCTGAATGGCCAGAATTTCTACAAAGTACATGCTTTTTATACTAAACAAGTAAACAACAGGAAAATCAGAATACCACTTAGTAATTACTGATGTCTTCTTAGGGTGAATTATCATCTGAGCAGGGTTTTTACACCTTCGAATCTTTTTAAAAATAATTTTAACTTTTATTTGAGATTCAGAGAGTACATGTGCAAGTTTGATACATGAGTATATTGTATAGTGCTGAGGTTTGAGATAGGAATGATCCCATCATCCAGGTAGTGAGTGTAGTATTCAACAGTTAGTATTTTAACCCTTGCCCCCTACTTCTCTCCCACCTTTGGTAGTCCCTAATGTCTTTGCTGCCATCTTCACGTCCATGAGTAAACAATGTTTAGGTCCCATTTGACACAAAAACATGTGTACACCAAATATATCGTCTGAACCCACTGAGCATTTCCAACCAGCAAATGAGAAAGGTTGTTTCAAATAGGTTTAAGGGTAAGAAGAAGAAAGAGTAATAAGTGATAGTTGAAAGTTTGCTACTAACTGAAGAAACGGGAAAACCAGAAAATTAGAAGAGCACATGTAGCACCTAGTGTGAGACCATAAGTATTGTTATGAGCAACTTAAGGGCAGTGCCATATTCAAAGCACAATAACTGACAAGCACGACAGTGACACTGGGTCATTTCAAGAAGGCTAATGATGTTATATGAACTCGATTTCTGAAAGACTAGTGACACACAATTAAATAGTTTTATTCAAAATATTACTTTACAAAACAAAATATAAGGGAGATAAGCCTTAGTTATAAAAAACTCAACTTTCATATGTGTTACTTCCCAAGGCTGTCACAAAATTAAGGCTTTTTACTATATACAGTGTTTAAGAAAGCTAGATTCCCATCATTTTTGGATTTAACAAATTCTGCCAAATATTTGCAGCCTTCTACAAATGTTAAACATAGAAATTAATAAACTTAGATTAGTTTTAAATATATATGTATATGTATTTCTGGAATATTACATTACTAATAATACATACTAAAATCCCAATTTTATAAATGTGATGATGCTATTCCAACGCAAATTTGTGTCATTCCAACCCACAGTCCACATTGTGTCTACAATCATTATATATTTATATATTGTGACTACAATCCAGAGAGTGTATATTATCAGCAGTGTATTTTGAGACTAAACAGATTCAATAGGAAAGGCTTTCTAATACGCTTCAATTACAGAAATGCAAACATACTAAATCTATTCCACAGGCTTCCCCATGAATTCCACATTAGAGTGCATTTTGTATTGAGCAACTTGATTTAAACTCGATGATTTTAGAATATGCTAACGTACAAAGTGCATGAAAAGAACTAAATCCATTAATTAGTATTTGCTGGTGGCAGAGTGCATAGGATATTTACCCTAGAATTCTGCTACATTCAGAATACAGGTGGAATTTCCTAATGTACTCTTGCCATCACTAATCCTTAAATGCCAAACAGAAGTGATGCAGTAACCAAAGCCTTATCAACTATGCCAGATTCTACTACCTAGGCATTGCAAGGTCTGCATTTATGATGGACTACCTGAGCTGACAGCACATGGAATTATCTAAACAACATTTGCATATTTGTGTAATTATTTTCTAAGGTTAATTAGCTCCTGTAATGCATTTCTCCCTTTGAGACTGCTTACAGTGACAGGTTCACATATTTTCTGAACCATTGCCAAATTTGACAGATTTTTCTTCAGCTAACCTGTTGCTACAAAGTTATAAAAAGTAAGTACTCCTATAATATACACTTTAAACTTACAATTGATTTTAGAAAAAGTAAACTGAAAATTTAATGGATGTAAAGGTTTTTTAAATGTCCAATTTTAAAGTCAAAAATTCAAGGTTTTTTACTTCATATAAATCTTTCTGTGATTATACTGGTAAGCATATCTATTAACAAAATATCTTTTAATAATCAAATCTAACCTTTGTGACTTCAGCACATACCTATGTCACTAATTTCAGTTATGTCCACGTCATATAAATATGTATATAAGTATGTATGTGTACATACACACACACACACTTCACACTCTACCAGCTGCCCTTAGTATTGCCATTGATTTGCTATTTACATTGGTGATATCAACTGGAGAAATTACACTAATATAAAATCTACACCTGTTTTACGACAAAATTTACAAAATGAAATTCTTTCTTCTAAAAAGTTAAGGCTTTCCACTGGGAAAAGTATGGCTCAATAAAATCCAAATGGAAGGTAGATAGTCTAGTCTGCTGGATGGAGGATGCAAAAATGTAAGTTACCATCTTGTACTCAACCAATCCACAAGGATAAGATGAAAGAAAAAATTTTTTTTTTCTTTTTGACGGAGTCTCGCTCTGTCGCCCAGGCTGGAGTGCAGTGGTGCAATCTCTGCTGACTGCAAACTCCGCCTCCCAGGTTCGCGCCATTCTCCTGCCTCAGCCTCCCGAGTAGCTGGGACCACAGGCGCCCCCCACCACGCCCGGCTAATTTTTTGTGTTTTTAGTAGAGATGGGGTTTCACCGTGTTAGCCAGGATGGTCTCGATCTCCTGACCTCATGATCCGCCCACCTCGGCCTCCCAAAGTGCTAGGATTACAGGCGTGAGCCACCACGCCAGGCCTAAAGAAAATTCTTATTTTCAGCAATTGGCCAGTGGAGTATCCTTCCAGAAGAAACGGAACACAGATATGGCTCTAATCCAGAAAGACACACACAAGGAAATTTTATGCTTTAGCTTTAAAGCTTTAAACTTTTGGATGATTTTGTTATTTAACTCTTTTGTATATTAACTGAGTATAAATTGTGCATTAATATAGAACAAAACATTTAAAAGAACAGTTATATGTAAAACATATTTTACCTTGTCACATGAGATGTAATTTTATTTTATCCAATTAAATAATTTAGATTAAAATGTTTTCTTCATTTTGGCATATTTTAAATGTATGCTTTTTTACAAATTGTATGCATTTGTATTTAATGATGATTAAAGTACTAGGTGTATACTGGATGCATAAAAGTAACACTATAACATGCATATACTAAAAACATATTCAAAATTGAAGGACATTATTCAGTCCCAAAATATTAAATTGAACCATATAAGTTACCAGTATTAGAAATTTTGGACCTTGAAAAATGGCAATTTCACAAGATTCAACTTTAAACATAATGAAAATAGACAAAAAAAAGTCTATAAGCTGGAGATACCTTGAGACTATCAATTTGTTTCTACCTTTTAGGTGTCAAGATACTATTTGCAGCACTCAATCTTTTTTTAAGTTTTATTTTAGGTTTAGAGACACATGCAAAGGATCGTTATATAGGTAAACTGTGTGTTGTGGGGTTTGGTGTACAGATTATTTAGTCACCTAGGCAATAAGTATAGTACCCAATAGGTATGTTTAAAAATCCTCTCCCTCCTCCCACTCCACCCTCAAGTAGGCCCTTTTTGTGTCCACGTGTTCTCATTGTTTAGCTCTCACTTATAGGTGAGAACATATGGTATTTGGTTTTCTGTTCCTGCATTAGTTTGCTCCAGATAGTGATCTCCAGCTCCATCCATGTTGCTGCAAAGGACATGATCTCATTCTTTTTCAATGGCTGTGTAGTATTCCACGGTGTATATGTGCTAAATTTTCCTTCTGCAGTCTACCACTGATGAGCATTTAGATTGATTCCACGTCTTTGCTACTGCAACGAATAGTGCTGCAATGAACAAACAAATACATGTGTCTTTATAGTAGAATGATTTATATATCCAATATACCCAAAGGAATATAATACATTCCACCATAAAAATAAATCCCACTAGATTGCTGGGTTGAATGGCAATTCTGAGTTTTTTTGAAACTCAGAATTGCCATTTTTTGAAAGCACACTGCTTTCCAGAAAGGCTGAACTAATTTGCACTCCCACCAACAGTGTATAAGTGTTCCCTTTTCTCCCCAATCTCACCAGCATCTGTTATTTTTTGACTTTTTAATAAAGGCCATTCTGGCTGCTGTGAGATGGCATCTCAGAGTGGTTTTGACTTTCATTTCTCTAATGATTACTGATGCTGTGCATTTTTTCGTATGCTTGTTGGCCACATGTATGGCTTCTTTTGAAAAGTGTTCATGTACTCTGCCCACATTTTAATGGGGATGTTTGTTTTTTGCTTATAAATTTGTTTAAGTTCCTTATAGATTTTGGATATTAAACCTTTGTCAGATGCATAGTAAGCAAATATTTTTCCTATTCTATAGATTGTCTGTTTACTCTTTTGATAGTTTCTTTTGCTGTGCAGAGATCTTTAGTTTGATTAGGTCCCACTTGTCAATTTTTGCTTTTGTTGCGATTGCTTTTGGTGTCTTTGTCTTGAAATCTTTGCCAGGTCCTATGTCCAGGATGGTATATCCTAGGTTTTCCTGAAGGGTTTTTATAGTTTTAAGTTTTATATTTAAGTCTTTAATCCATCTTAAATTGATCTGTGTATATGATGTCTGTCCAATTTCAATCTTCTGCATATGGCTAGCTAGTTATCCCAGCACCATTTATTGAATAGGTAGTCCTTTTCCCATTGCTTGTTTCTGTAGGCTTTGTAGAAGATCAGACAGTTGCAGGTGTGTGGCATTATTTCTGGGCTCTCTATTCTATTCCATTGGTATATGTATCTGTTTTTGTATCAATACCATGCTGTTTTGGTTACTATAGCCTTGCAGTAGAATTTGAAGTGGTAATGTGATACCTCCACCTTTGTTCTGTTTGCTTATGAGTGCCTTGGCTATTCAGGCCCTGTTTTGGTTTCATGTGAATTTTTTAAAATAGTTCTTTTTCTGTGACAGTGCAAGACTCTGTATCAAAAAAAAAAAGGTTTTCTAATTCTGTGAAGAATCTCATTGGTCGTTTGATAGGAACAGCATTGAATCTGTAAATTGCTTTGGGCAGTATGGCCATTTTAATTACATTGATTCTTCCTATCCATGAGTAAGCAATGTTTTTCCATCTGTTTGAGTCATCTTTGATTTCTTTGAGCAGTATATTGTAATTCTCATTGGGGAGACCTTTTACTTCCCTGGTTAGTCATATTCTTAGATATTTTATTCTTTTTTGTGGCAATTGTGAATAGGACTGTGTTCCTGATTTGGCTCTCAGCTTGACTGTTGTTTGGTGTATAGGAATGTTACTTGTGTTTGTACATTGATTTTATATTCTGAAACTTTGCAGAAATTGTTTATCAGATCAAGGAGCTTTTGGGCAGAAACTATGGGGTGGTATAGAATCATGTCATCTGCACACAGGGATAGTTTGACTTCCTCTCTTCCTATTTGGGTGCCTTTTATTTCCTTCTCTTGCCTGATTACTCTGGCCAGGACTTCCAATACTATGTTGAATAGGAGTGGTGAGAGAGAGCATCCCTGTCACGTTCCAGTTTTCAAGGGGAATGCTTCCAGCTTTTGCCCATTCAGTATTATGTTGGCTGTGGGTTTGTCATAGATGGCTCCAATTACTTTGAAGTATGTTCCTTCAATGCCTAGTTTATTGAGGATTTTTAACATTAAAAATGTTGAATTTTATTGAAAGGCTTTTCCGCATCTATTAAGGTAAGCATGTGGTTTTGTCTTTAGTTTCATGTGATTAATCACATCCACTGATTTGCATATGTTGAACCAATCTTATGTTCTAGGGATGATGCCTACTTGATTGTGGTGGATTAGCTTTTTGATGTGCTGCTGGATTTGGTTTGCTAGTTGAGGATTTTTGCATCTATGTTCATTAAGGATATTGGCTTGAATTTTTTTGTTGTGTCTCTGCCAGGTTTTGGTATCAGGATGATGCTGGCCTTATAGAATGGGTTAGGGTAAAGTCCTTCCTCATCAATTTTTTTGGAACAGTTTAAGTAGGAGTGGTAGCAGCTCTTCTTTATACACCTGATAGAATTTGGCTGTAGATCATTCCGGTCCTGGGCTTTTTTTTTTGGTTGATAGGCTTTTTACTACTGATTCAATTTTGGAACTCATTATTGGTCTGTTCGAGGATTCAATTTCTTCCTGGTTCAGTCTTGGGAGGTTGTATATGTCCAGGAATTTATCCATTTCTTCCAGGTTTGCTAGTTTGTGTGCATACAGGTGTTAATAGTAGTCTCTGACAGTGTTTTGTATTTTTGTGGGGTTGGGGGTAATGTCCCCTCTGTCATTTCTGATTATATTTATTTGGATCTTCTCTCTTATTTTCATTATCAGGCTAACTAGCAGTCTATGTAATTTTTTCACCAAACCAATTCTACAATTCATTGATCATTTGTATGGTTTTTCATGTCTCAATTTCCTTCAGTTCAGCTCTGATTTTGGTTATTTCTTGTCTTCTTTGAGGTAGATTTGCTCCTGCTTCTCTAGTTCCTTGAGGTTAGGTTAATTTGATATCTTTTTAACTTTTTGATGTGGGTATTTAGTGCTATAAAATTCCCTCTTAACACTGCCTTAGCGGTGTCCCAGAAATTCAGGTATGTTGTATCTTTGTTCTCACTAGTTTCAAAGAATTTCTTTATTTCTGACAGCACTCAGTCTTGAAGACAGATTCAAGGCTACATTACTGGTCAATATGGCTACATTAATAAAATTATAAATGGTTATGCACAGAAGACATCTGTAGTGAATATAGCTGACAAACGATAAATATTCAGAACCATATTTAAATATTTGAATTTAGCAGATATTTCACATTTACCATGTCCAAAAGTAAACTCTGAATTGGATTCCCAACACCACAATGTCTATTCTTTCCCAACTTGTTAAGTGGTAACTCCACCCACCTGTTTTTCTCAAGCCAAAAATCTGGAAGTCACCCTTGACATCTTCCTCCTCTTCTATCACCCATATGTATCCAATTTAACTTATCCTTTGACATATTTCTAGAATTCATAAACTTATCTCTACTTCTATTCTTACTACCCTAACACTAACACCATCTCTTGTCTTGGACACTAGACACTTGAACTGGCTACATGCTTTCTCTCATTTGGTTTTTACATTAGATATTATGATGCAGACACTCTGAATATAGCAATTTACAGAGATTAATTAATTAATTAATTTGATCAAGGTCATAAAACCAGTGTGATTGCAAGCCAGTCTGTGTGGTTCTAGTGTTTGAACTTCTATGCTATACTAACTATCCCTTTAAATCATATGTATTAAAGACTAAACAAGTAATTATGGCCCATTATTTACAGACAGGGTGACAAATACTTTGTGATTGGGCCATACTGCCACAAAATGGGTGTGACCTAAAATAGGAGGCATATAGAACTGGTAGGATTCTTAGATTCCAAAACTGGGCTCCACTGTACTCCTGGGAATGTCCATCAAAGTAAACATTGACAATCCTACTCACTTTAATAAAATTTAGGTCTTTTCTTTTAGTGTAATATACAATGCAAGCATAATAATGTTAACTGAAAATGCCTCTGCAGCACATACTGTGACATGTACTGATCTTAAAACAGTCAACTCTCCTTATCTGTCGGTTCTGCATTAGCGGATTCAACCAACCAATGATCAAAAATATTTTTGAAAATATTTTAGAAAAAGAAAGAATGGTAGCATATATACCCAACATGGCCAGACTTTATTTTCTTGTTATCATTCCTTAAATAATACACTATTAACAACTATTTACATAGCATTTACAATATATTAGGTAGTAAAGTAATCCAGAGATGATTTAAAGTCTATGGGAGGATGTGTATAGGCTACATGCAAATACTATGCCATTTTATATAAGTGACTTGAGCATCTGTGGATTTTGGTATCTGAGGCGTGAAGGAGGGGCTGTCCTGAAACCAGTTCCCTATGGATACTGAAGGACAATTATTTATGTCATTTAATCCTATGAATTAGGTACCATTATTGTCCCCATAATCAGATGAACAGGTAAAGAATGATTAGGAAACTAATTATTTGGCAGAGCCAGAATTCAAACCTAGGTAGTCTGAGTTCATACGTGTAATCTTAATCACTTTATATAACCCTGTTAAAACACATTTAATATTCTTCTCTCCATGCAGGCATAACGAGTATTGCTATTCTTTATAGTAATGAATAAAACAGCAAGAGGCCATTAAGACAAAGGGATGCGAGTGTTGCTTATGTATCTAACAGTATTGTGGGCCAGGTTGACATGAAAAAACACCTTCTCTGTGAAAATGAAGGAGTCTGTTTTCTGAAAGTTCAATGTGTCGTTTTCCTTCAATAGCTTCTGACATCATATAAGAGGGACACTGAACCTAGCTTAAAACCTATTATTAATTTTCTGCCATTTATTAATCTAAAACAAAAAAATACAGCTAAGAGAAAGAAGCTAGACACAAAAGACTACATGCAATATGTTTCAATTGTTAGGAAATTCTAGAAAAGCCAAAACTATAATGTTAGAATGGAGGTCAGTGGTCAGCAAGGTCAGGAAATGGGAGGAAGACTTTGGCTGCAAAGGGGCACAAGAGGAAACTTTTTGGGGGTGATGAAAGTAACGGGTTAGAAAACAGTGAGCTGCAAGCTGCCTGCCTGTTTTTGTAAATAACATTTCACTGGAACACAGTCATGTACACTTGTTTATATATCATCTATGGTTGCTTTCACCTCACAACAGTAGAGCTGAGCAATTGGGACAGAGTCAGTCTGGCCTACCAGTCTAAAGTAGTTTAAGAAAAAATTTGTTGATCCTTTCTCTAAATACTTATGATCTCAGTTCCAGCATAGGATGGCAGATTCAAGATCCGTATCTGAGTGGATTATCTCCACAAACCCCCTAAAACTATGGTAAAAGATTTTTTTTAATATAGACATAAATCAGCAAAGACTAGGAGAACAAGGAAGGAAAAAAATGACAACATTTTGGAAGAGAGAGCAGATAGAAGAGTGGTAACTAATTTAGCACATCTGACAAAGTCCAATCTCAAGCTGGCAGTGGGAAAGCTGAGAACCAACTCCATTTACACTGCAGAATCCTCCAAAGCATAGGGACAGGATTCCAGGTATCTCTGGGATTGAAGGAGAGTGACATGTACATGCTAAAATAAGGCTGTTTGAGAAATATTTTCCCATCTTCCATTCCACGTGCTTGGCAAATGTCTTTGCACATCCTGACAGGAGAGGTTTTGAAATGGGGCTATCAGAAACAGTTGGCATCAGCTTCATAAGAAAAAACAGAGATAAAGTGACCATATGCAAACTGAATGTGGAATGTAGTTACCTATCCCAGTTTCATCACCACCATCCCCCAAACCCCCGGGCCTTCATCCCTTCTAAACTTCCCCACTGTTGGCAGTCAGACCCTTAGACTTCAGGCAAAAGACTGGAAGACTTCTTTGGAAAATGAAATCAGGCTAAATAAGACAAAAAGTTCTAAAGATATAGATGGGTGGGAGTGTGCATGGGGGAAAGTTCCCAACAAATAGACTACTCAGATTAATTATAGCGAAGCTCAAACATAGTAAGTCCCACCCAGATGCTTAGAGATTCCAATTACTTTTTAATCCCTACTGATAAATATGAATAGACTGCCAAACATTATTAGACATATGGAAAATGCCTATAAATACAAAATATAGAGTCCTGAACAAATAGACACTTGAAAGAAACGGAAGTTTTGCAGACAGAGAAAAATTTCAAAAACACTTTCATTATTATCTTCAGAGATACTAGTACATGCATAAAAGTAGAACAAGGATACTTTTTTTTTTTTTTTTTTTTTTGAGACAGGGTCTCACTCTGTCACCCAGGCTGGTGTGCAGTGGCATGATCACAACTCGCTGTGAAGCCTTGACCTCCCGGGCTCAAGTGATCCTCCAGCCTTAGCCTCCTGAGTAGCTGGGACTACAGACACGTGCCACCATGCCCCACCATGCCTGGCTAATTTTCAACTGCTTTGTAGAGAGAAGGTCTCACTATGTTACCCAGGCTGGACAAGGGTACTATTAAAAAGAAATATTTGAAGAATAAAAAGAGCTCTTTCAAATTAAAAGCAAAACAGCAGAAGTGAAAAATTCAACAGAAGGGTTAAATGATTAAGTTAAAGAAATCTCCCAGAAGAAGATATGAAAAATAGGAGAGAAAAGTAATAAACCAGGTAAGTCTAGGAGATCCATCATCCAAAAAGCAAAGTTGTATAATGAGAAAACAGAAAAAATAGAAGGCAGGAAATTATCAACAAAATAAGTTTTCCAGGACATTTGCTGATAGATTAAAGTGACTAAAGTACCCAGTATAATGAATGAAATATATATGTATAGAAAGGTACATCACTGCAAAATTTAGAACCCAGGAACAAAGAGAAGATACTACAAGTTTTAAGAAAGAAAAATAAAATTTTAGGATTCAGAACAATTTCGGACTTTTCAATAGCAACAGAGGAAGCAAGATGAGGATAAAAAAACAAAAAAAAAAACAAAAAAAAAACTCTAAAATTCAAAAGCCCAAGCCAGGCACATAGCTCACGCCTGTAATTCCAGCACTTTGGGAGGCCCAGGCGAGTGGACTGCTTGAACTCAGGAGTTCAAGACCAGCCTGGCCAACATGGTGAGATTTCATCTGTACTAACAATACAAAAATTAGCCAGGTGTGGTGGTGCATGCCTGTAGTTTCAGCTACTTGGGAGGCTGAGGTAGGAGGATCATTTGAGTCCAGGAGGTGGAGGCTGCAGTGAGCTGAGATGGGACCACTGCACTCCAGCCTGGGGTAGAGTGAGACTCCATCTCAAAAGAAAAAAAAAATCAAAAGGAAAATAATTTCTAATTTAGAATTCTATACCCAGCCAAAATATCATAAAATATAAATGTAACATAAATGCAGAAAGTAAAAAAATTTGTATCTCATTCCCTTCTTCTAAAGAAACAACTGGGAGATATGGACATTTAAAATAAGAAATAAATCAAGAAAGAGGAAGACATGAAGTATGGAAAACAAGAGAAATAACCTAAGAGAGTAACAGAAGAATAAAGAAAATGCTAAGATGACAGCTGGACACCACATACAGCAGTTAACCAGAAAGGTGATACTAGTGTGATTCAAAAGATAGATATGCTGAGAGTTGTTATCACCAAGACCCTCACTACAACTATATTATCATTTAAGACATAATTACCTAATGAGCCGGACCTGGATTTATATTTGCATTTGGCTTTTCCTAACCACATACTGTTGAGATTCGTGTTGCCCATTCACGCTTTGCTGCAGTATCAGCTGAGGACATTTATTACAACTTATGAAAATGTTGTGTTTTCACTAAACTAGGAGGTACAGGTAGACCATGGAAAGCTTAGAAACAGAAAATACAGAGCAGAAAACTCCCTCTAGCCATATTTCTGATGATTTTGCCTTCCAGATGCTCCAACTATGAAAAGCTGTTTTTCAAAACTACATTGTCCACTGATATCCCTATAAGGGGGATCTTGTAAGTGCTTTGGGAATCTTAAGTCAGATCATGATCCATAGTATCTATTAGCTTATCTTCAACTAGGAGTTTTCATCTAATAGTAGAAATATTTTCCTTTCCTTATACTACCAGGTCTGTGCTCACTGCTTAATGTGTCATAATAAACAACATGCTATTTAGGAGTACATATAGTTAACATACAGGCTCCAGGGATTAAGATTTGAATCTTTGGAGCCATTATTCTCCCTACCACAATAACCTAGCAAGAACCCTGGGAGAAGGTCCCAAAATGTTGCCAGGATTTTTCTTAGAAGCTTGAAGAAAGTAATGGCCTATACTAAGTGAAGATCTCAGCTGTCATTCATCAGAGAGTAATCTGTCACAGAAGAGGCAGTAAAAAACCAAGAAGGCAGAATGACTCAGCCAGTTTATATTTGTTGGACTCCATCACTAACTTGTGCTGGCACAATCAGAGTATGACCAAAAAAGCCATAATGGCAAGGATGCAGGATATACACAGGCCCACAAACATGAATGTATCTTGCTCACCAAGACTGATCTGGCTACTGCCACTTAATGAATACTAGAGCAGACTGAGAGGCAAAAGAAACACCTTTGGAACGTGAGTGTCTGTGTCTGTGTGTGTTGGAGGGGGCGTAAGATTAAGTGTTCCAGACAGTTCAATCTAGAACATCCTATAGACAAAATGGTATAGTCAGAAGCTAAACATGCCTTATAGTATTGCTATCTGAATCTAAAGCTATAATTATAGCTGTAGAGGAAATGAGTAAACTGTCTCCAAAGAATTAATGATTAATTTAGCAACTTTGGGATGATCATTTACAATTGCCAGAGAACATATTTTCTCTCTCTCTCTCTGTGACACACACACACACACACACACACACACACACACACAATCACACAACCAGACAGTGCTACTTAATTAGCTTTGTGACTTTGACTTACCATCTTAGATGTTCAAACTCTGTATTTGTCCATGAGAGTCCTGGGAGACCTCTAAAGTTCTATCTTTTTCTGATAAGATAAGGAAAGCAAAGCTTTGGAAACAAAGAGAAGAGTTGCTATCTAAAGGGAGGCTGGGCCCAGTGTGGTGGCTCATGCCTGTAATCCCAGCCCTTTAGGAGACTGAGTAGGGAGGATCACCTGAGCCCAGGAGTTTGAGACCAGCGTGGGTAACATAGTGAGACCCTGTCTCTAAAAAAAAAAAAAATTAGCCAGGTGTAGTGGCATGTGCCTGTAGTCTTTGCTCACTGGGAGGCTGAGGTGGGAGAATTGCTTGAGCCCAGGAATTCCAGGCTGCAGAGAGCTATGATTGTGTCACTGCACTCCAGCCTGGGCAACAGAGCAAGACCATGTCTCTAAAAAAATAATAATAATAAAAATAAAACAACGACTGGAGAAATGCAAAATAAGAAGCCTGGCAAACAGCACATAATAAATATTTGATTTCTTTTGGGCTACATCACAAAGGTGTAATTAAGTTATTTATATACTTGCTATAATTTAGTCATAAACTAAAAACATCTTGAAAATATACTTATTAATATTATAATATTACTTCAAAAACATGTTTAATTTAAAAATACTTTATTGCTAAAAACTGCTAACGATCATCTGAACCTTCACTGAACTACAATCTTTTTGTCAGTGAAGGGTCTTGCCTCAATGTTGATGGCTGCTGACTGATCAGGGAGGTGGTTGCTGAAAGTTGAAGTGATGGAAGAAATTTCTTGAAATAAGACAACGATATTTGCCTCATTTATTGACTCACCCTTCCATGAAAGATTTCTCTGTAGTATGAACCATTGTTTGATCGCATTTTACCCACAGTAGAACTTCTTTCAAAGCTAGAGTCAATCCTCTAAAACCTGTCCTTGTATCAATTAAGTTTACGTAATATTTGTAATCCTTTGTTGTCATTTCAACAGTGTTCACAGCATCTTCAGCAGGGGTAGTTTCTATCTTATACAACCACTTTCTCTGCTCATCTGTAAGAGGCAACTCCTCATTCATTCAAGTTTGATCATGAGATTGCAGCAATTCAGTCACATCTTGAGGCTCCATTTCTAATTCTAGTTCTCTTGCTGTTTCCACCTCATCTGCAGTTCCTTCCTCCACTGAAGTCTAGCAAAGCTAGATTTCTTAACATATAAACAATTCAACTGAAAAACGTAATATATTTTAGTAAAATAACAAACCAGTATATTTTATCAGCAGTTCTGATTTTAGAATAAGGGCACACCAAATGTTTCCTTTATTGTCCATCACAAAATGCAGAGAGAACTTTACCATTCTATTTAAAAAATTTCTCATGTATAGCAAACATATCCTAGTTTACAAAGTTTTAAAATATTTGAAAAAATAAGAAAAATAATTATATTTATTTTGATCTGTTGAAAACACTGCATATACTAAAATATAAAATTGTTAATATAAAATTAAGGGGAGGGACTATATCTTGTTACTACTAATTATTATACTAATTATAGCAGCTAACATTTATCAGGTAGTTGCTACTTACCAGCTTTGGATCAAGCACTTTACAGGTATTACGTACATATATTACATGTATTATGAATTAACATGTATTAAACTACTACTATGGTTCCCATTGTATGGATGAAGCACAGAAAGGTTGAATCACTTATTCCAGGCTAAAATAGCTAATTAGTGCAATTCAGGATTATAGCATGGGAAGTCTGAATTAAAAATGCCTACTTTTAATCCCTGTGCTATGCTAACTCACCCTTCGATTTTTCTATCCTCCATAGCACCTTGCAGTTCACACAAAGGCCTGCGGTTTTAACTTGTACTTAAATGCATTGTTAAGAAATGTTATTTAAAACAGTCTGAAGACTTCCTCAAAGAGTTATAACACACTTATTTAACTTCTGTTAATAACATTACAAAATCATCGAAACTGAAATTAAATATCCAAATTTTTTAAAAAAGAGAGATGGTGCCAGGTACAGTGGCTCATGCCTGTAATCCCAGCACTGTGGGAGGCCAAGGCAGGTGGATCACAAGGTCAAGAGATTGAGACCATCCTGGTCAACATGGTGAAACCCCGTCTCTACTGAAAATACAAAAATTAGCTGAGTGTGGTAGTGCATGCCTGTAGTCCCAGCTACTCAGGAGGCTGAGGCAGGAGAATCACTTGAACCCGGGAGGCGGAGGTTGCAGTGAGCTGAGATCGTGCCACTGCACTCTAGCTTGGCGACAGAGCGAGACTCTGTCTAAAGATTAAAAAAAAAAAAAAAGAAAAAGAGATATTGACTGATACGTCCAATAAATGAATTCTAGAAATTCTAGAACCTCTACTACCTTGCTTTCCTTTTTAAGATTAAAATATTATTTTCTTCTTCTCTTTGGAACCACTAATCAAACCATAAATATTTTCACTGTAGAATATGTGCTTATTTGAGCCTAAATTCACAAATAAGGATTCTGACCATTGCAATCACTTCATATAATAAAATGTGACTAAGTATCAGATTACTCATATATAAAATATTTTGAACTGAAAAGATGAATGATAAATAAAACTGTAATCATTTTAGGAAACTAGGCAATCTCAATTTTAGGATAACAGAACAAAGGGCTTCAAAGAATTCTCATATGCTATAAAGATTGTTGGGAGTAGACTGTCACATAGTGACCTTGCTGGCGTCTAACATACCTAACAGTATTTGGAAGTGCATTGTTTCAAATCAATAACTAATTAACAAAGTACAAAAGAAGTTGCACAGTTTCCTTAGCTCCTTGTTAAAAATGGCTTTTGGCAGCACATGGGCAGAAAGGTCGCTTTTATGACATCTCCAGGAGCCTTTCAACACCCTGCCTCTGTCAGATTAAATTACTTTTAGCAATTAATTGTCATAAGTTAAAACAGAAGCACATTTGTTACAGCAGGCTGTCATAATGACATGGTGAGGAGTTGTTTTGATATGAATTTCTTCCACTGACCTTCTATCATATCTTAATTTTTGTGGTTGACCTAACTGGAAGATTGGGAGCACGTCGTAGCTCAAAAATCACAGGCCAAACCTTGGGGGTCTTAGGATAGGATACCAACAAATAATTGAAAAAAAATTTCCACAGATACTTCTGAAAAGCAGTTTATGAAACAAAGGACTGTGTAACTTGAAAATTAATTTTAAAACAAAATTATTCCTAACATAAAAATACAGAATGTAAAAAGAAAAATTTTCTACTGAGTTCAAAAGATGAGATTATTATTGCATTGTACTAAAGTTAAGCACCTAGAAATAGTATGCTATGAGGAAATATTAAATAATTTTAAAATGTGAATTTCAGGAAGAATACACACACACACACGCAGGATACATATCTTCTACTTGATGAATATTCTGTTTAAACCTCCATAACTCTGTACAATCAGTTACCAATAATTATTCCTTATCAAATAATTTTCTTTATAAATCTGAGTATGAATAAGACTGAAAAAAATCCCCTTCTAATTGAGGAATATAATACTTTGGTGAATCCAGTAATAGATCAGATAGTATTTTCAAAAGTGACTGACATATGCAAATTTTTGTCCCAAAGGTAAAATATTTTTATAGTTGATTTTTCTTCCTATTGCTATGAATCTGCTACATTATTTAGCTATTTTAAAATTTAAGAGAATGTCACAGAGGATGAAAAAAATACTGGGTGAAAATTAGGCCAGCTCAAAAGGATAAGGAAAATGAAAAAACATGAGATTTTCAAGAAATCCTAAACCCATGAAAAGTGATAACAGCAGCCAATATTTTTCAAGTGCTTACTCTGTATTTGATATTGTGCAAAATGCTTAGTATGTTCTAATTAATTTAATCCTCATGGTACCCTGAGCAGTCGTTACAATTATTATCTACTTTTTATAGATAAGCCAACTGATACTTGAGGACTTTAATTCATTTGCCCAACATAATATAGCTAATGGAGTTTAACTTCAGATCCCATGATCTTAAATTAACCCTACAGTAATTTTTATATAAGTAACCACATACATACAAATGTGTGCATGTATGTGTGTGCACGTATATGTCCAAGAAAGTCTTTCTAGTTGTAAAAATAGATCTTAGGCCTAAAACATGACTATTCCTGGAAAACTGATATTCAATTATTCCAATTCACAGTATACACTGAGGAAGAGACCAGAGTTATTTATCAATAATTTGGATCTAAGGAGCAGATACAACCAGAGCTTCCAGAACCTTAGCTGTGAGAAGTCATAAGCTTATTGAGAAAGACGTAGGTAGGTGTGCAGGTATGTACAGGGTGGAAGATAACTGACCCTCTCAAATATCTGATGGGATCCTTATTATGATCAGGATGCTGTGAACAGCAGGGGGCCCGTGCACACTGGAGGGCCAGAGAAGCTTGCTCCTGCTGATTAGAGAATGTCACTAAGTCCTCTGCTCTATGGTTGCCTGTGAGCAGTGAAGTTTTTTTATTCTTAACTACATTACAGGGATGTAATGGTGTATTTCTGGAACTCGCCATCAAACTTGTGATGAACATGTTCTAGAAATTAAAATTTAGACTCTTTTTGAAATCATATCTAATGGCTGTTATTTGCAAGTAGCAGAATGGGCAAGATTAATACCATATATATTTAACATTTGGAGTCAATATGAACATTTTTTCATACTGTAACTAACTCAGCAAAATATTCCCTCTAGATATGTTTTGTGAAGGCAACTGTACTGTGGTATGAAATATCCTACTTAAATAAATTTAATCTCCAATATTTACAAGCAAATTTTTAAAATTAAATCAGTATATTTTCTATTAAGTATGTTTACATTAAATATTAGGGATTCTTAGTCATTGATTGGTTCTTCTTCTTTTTATTTTTTTCCCCTCTGAGAGTGTGTTCTCTAAGATTAACACTAAGGGCAAAGTGGAATTCATTCATTTTGTCAGATGGACCCAGTTAAGTATTTTTATATTTCAGGGACTGTTATAGACAGACTGACAGATAAAATGAAACCTGGTATTCCTTTTCCTTTATTAAAACGAGTGAAAATGCTTAGCAAAGTAGCTCATTTTAAGAATAGAAGAATGAATATTTAAATAAAAATTATTTCATTATTTCAGGGAATGACAGAAGTTTAGAAATCATGGCCTCCTGCCTATTTGCATTCCTATGTATTTTACAGAGGAAAAAACCTGGCCCAAGAGGTATGATATGACTTATCCATTATATCTTGCTGGTCATTGTAGTAATTTTGTTGGTTGAAATTTCAGTTCTCATAGAGATATGAACAGCAGCATACGTAACATTGCATGTATTTTTACTTTATTTTATTATTATTATACTTTAAGTTTTAGGGTACATGTGCACAATGTGCAGGTTAGTTACACATGTATACATGTGCCATGCTGGTGTGCTGCACCCATTAACTCGTCATTTAGCATTAGGTATATCTCCTAAAGCTATCCCTCCCCGCTTCCGCCACCCCACAACAGTGCCCAGAGTGTGATGTTCCCCTTCCTGTGTCCATGTGTTCTCACTGTTCAATTCCCACCTATGAGTGAGAATATGTGGTGTTTGGTTTTTTGTTCTTGCGATAGTTTACTGAGAATGATGATTTCCAATTTCATCCATGTCCCTACAAAGGACATGAACTCATCATTTTTTATGGCTGCATAGTATTCCATGGTGTATATATGCCACATTTTCTTAATCCAGTCTATCATTGTTGGACATTTGGGTTGGTTCCAAGTCTTTGCTATTGTGAATAGTGCCGCAATAAACATACAAGTGCATGTGTCTTTATAGCAGCATGATTTATAGTCCTTTGTGTATATACCCAGTAATAGGATGGCTGGGTCAAATGGTATTTCTAGTTCTAGATCCCTGAGGAATCGCCACACTGACTTCCACAAGGGTTGAACCAGTTTACAGTCCCAACAACAGTGTAAAAGTGTTCCTATTTCTCCACATCCTCTCCAGCACCTGTTGTTTCCTGACTTTTTAATGATTGCCATTCTAACTGGTGTGAGATGGTATCTCACTGTGGTTTTGATTTGCATTTCTCTGATGGCCAGTGATGGTGAGCATTTTTTCATGTGTTCTTTGGCTGCATGAATGTCTTCTTTTGAGAAGTGTCTGTTCATATCCTTTGCCCACTTTTTGATGGGGTTGTTTGTTTTTTTCTTGTAAATTTGTTGGAGTTCATTATAGATTCTGGATATTAGCCCTTTGTCAGATGAGTAGATTGCAAAAATTTTCTCCCATTTTGTAGGTTGCCTGTTCACTCTGATGGTAGTTTCCTTTGCTATGCAGAAGCTCTTTAGTTTCACTAGATCCCATTTGTTAATTTTGGCTTTTGTTGCCATTGCTTTTGGTGTTTTAGACATGAAGTCCTTGCCCATGCCTATGTCCTGAATGGTAATGCCTAGGTTTTCTTCTAGGGTTTTTATGGTTTTAGGTCTAACGTTTAAGTCTTTAATCCATCTTGAATTAATTTTTGTATTAGGTGTAAGGAAGGGATCCAGTTTCAGCTTTCTACATATGGCTAGCCAGTTTTCCCAGCACCATTTATTAAATAGGGAATCCTTTCCCTATTGCTTGTTTTTCTCAGGTTTGTCAAAGATCAGATAGTTGTAGATATGCGGCGTTATTTCTGAGGGCTCTGTTCTGTTCCATTGATCTAGTTCTCTGTTTTGGTACCAGTACCATGCTGTTTTGGTTACTGTAGCCTTGTAGTATAGTTTGAAGTCAGGTAGCGTGATGCCTCCCTCTTTGTTCTTTTGGCTTAGGACTGACTTGGCGATGTGGGCTCTTTTTTTGGTTCCATATGAACTTTAAAGTAGTTTTTTTCCAATTCTGTGAAGAAAGTCATTGGTAGCTTGATGGGGATGGCATTGGATCTATAAATTACCTTGGGCAGTATGGCCATTTTCATGATATTGATTCTTCCTACCCATGAGCATGGAATGTTCTTCCATTTGTTTGTATCCTCTTTTATTTCATTGAGCAGTGGTTTGTAGTTCTCCTTGAAGAGGTCCTTCACGTCCCTTGTAAGTTGGATTCCTAGGTATTTTATTCTCTTTGAAGCAATTGTGAATGGGAGTTCACTAATGATTTGGCTCTCTGTTTGTCTGTTATTGGTGTATAAGAATGTTTGTGATTTTTGTACATTGATTTTGTATCCTGAGACTTTGCTGAAGTTGCTTATCAGCTTAAGGAGATTTTGGGCTGAGACAATGGAGTTTTCTAGATATACAATCATGTCATCTGCAAACACGGACAATTTGACTTCCTCTTTTCCTAATTGAATACCCTTTATTTCCTTCTCCTGCCTAATTGCCCTGGCCAGAACTTCCAACACTATGTTGAATAGGAGTGGTGAGAGAGGGCATCCCTGTCTTGTGCCAGTTTTCCAAGGGAATGCTTCCAGTTTTTGCCCATTCAGTATGATATTGGCTGTGGGTTTGTCATAGATAGCTCTTATTATTTTGAGATACATCCCATCAATACCAAATTTATTGAGAGTTTTTAGCATGAAGGGTTGTTGAATGTTGTCAAAGGCCTTTTCTGCATCTATTGAGATAATCATGTGGTTTTTGTCTTTGGCTCTGTTTATATGATGGATTACATAAATTGATTTGCGTATATTGAACCAGCCTTGCATCCCAGGGATGAAGCCCACTTGATCATGGTGGATAAGCTTTTTGATGTGCTGCTGGATTCAGTTTGCCAGTATTTTATTGAGGATTTTTGCATCAATGTTCATCAAGGATATTGGTCTAAAATTCTCTTTTTGGTTGTGTCTCTCCCTGGCTTTGGTATCAGGATGATGCTGGCCTCATAAAATGAGTTAGGGAGGATTCCCTCTTTTTCTATTGATTGGAGTAGTTTCAGAAGGAATGGTACCAGTTCCTCCTTGTACCTCTGGTAGAATTTGGCTCTGAATCCATCTGGTCCTGGACTCTTTTTGGTTGGTAAGCTATTGATTATTGCCACAATTTCAGAGCCTGTTATTGGTCTATTCAGAGATTCAACTTCTTCCTGATTTAGTCTTGGGAGGGTGTATGTGTCGAGAAATTTATCCATTTCTTCTAGATTTTCTAGTTTATTTGCGTAGAGGTGTTTGTAGTATTCTCTGATGGTAGTTTGTATTTCTGTGGGATTGGTGGTGGCATCCCCTTTATCATTTTTATTGCACCTATTTGAGTCTTCTCTCTTTTCTTCTTTATTAGTCTTGCTAGCAGTCTATCAATTTTGTTGATCCTTCAAAAAACCAGCTCCTAGATTCATGAATTTTTTGAAGGGTTTTTTGTGTCTCTATTTCCTTCAGTTCTGCTCTGATTTTAGTTATTTCTTGCCTTCTGCTAGCTTTTGAATGTGTTTGCTCTTGCTTTTCTAGTTATTTTAATTGTGATGTTAGGGTGTCAATTTTGGATCTTTCCTGCTTTCTCTTCTGGGCATTTATTGCTATAAATTTCCCTCTACACACTGCTTTGAATGTGTCCCAGAGATTCTGGAATGTTGTGTCTTTGTTCTCTTTGGTTTCAAAGAACATCTTTATTTCTGCCTTCATTTCGTTTTATGTACCCAGTAGTCATTCAGGAGCAGGTTGTTCAGTTTCCATGTAGTTGAGCAGTTTTGAGTGAGTTTCTTAATCCTGAGTTCTAGTTTGATTGCACTGTGGTCTGAGAGACAGTTTCTTATAATTTCTGTTCTTTTACATTTGCTGAGGAGAGCTTTACTTCCAACTATGTGGTCAATTTTGGAATAGGCATGCTGCAGTGCTGAAAAAAATGTATATTCTGTTGATTTGGGGTGGAGAGTTCTGTAGATGTCTATTAGGTCTGCATGATGCAGAGCTGAGTTCAATTCCTGGGTATCCTTGTTAACTTTCTGTCTTGTTGATATGTCTAATGTTGATAGTGGGGTGTTAAAGTCTCCCATTATTATTGTGTGGGAGTCTAAGTCTCTTTGTAGGTCTCTAAGGACTTGCTTTATGAATCTGGGTGCTCCTGTATTGGGTGCATATATATTTAGGATAGTTAGCTCTTCTTGTTGAATTGATCCCTGTACCATTATGTAATGGCCTTCTCTGGCTCTTTTGATCTTAGTTGGTTTAAAGTCTGTTTTATCAGAGACTAGGATTGCAACCCCTGCCTTTTTTTGTTTTCCATTGGCTTGGTAGATCTTCCTCCATCCTTTTATTTTGAGCCTATGTGTGTCTCTGCATGTGAGATGGGTTTCCTGAATACAGCACACTGATGGGTCTTGACTCTTTATCCAATTTGCCAGTCTGTGTCTTTTAATTGGAGCATTTAGCCCATTTGCATTTAAAGTTAATATTGTTATGTGTGAATTTGATCCTGTCATTATGATGTTAGCTGGTTATTTTGCTCGTTAGTTGATGCAGTTTCTTCCTAGCCTTGATGGTCTTTACAATTTGGCATGATTTTGCAGTGGCTGGTACTGGTTGTTCCTTTCCATGTTTAGTGCTTCCTTCAGGAGCTCTTTTAGGGCAGGCCTGGTGGTGACAAAATCTCTCAGCATTTGCTTCTCTGTAAAGTATTTTATTTCTCCTTCACTTATGAAGCTTAGTTTGGCTGGATATTAAATTCTGGGTTGAAAATTCTTTTCTTTAAGAATGTTGAATATTGGAAAGGACATGCACACCAAGAACCCATCTGTACATCACCATCATCAAAGACCAAAAGTAGATAAAACCACAAAGATGGGGAAAAAACAGAGCAGAAAAACTGGAAACTCTAAAAAGCAGAGCACCTCTCCTCCTTCAAAGGAACGCAGTTCCTCACCAGTAACGGAACAAAGCTGGACAGAGAATGACTTTGATGAGTTGAGAGAAGAAGGCTTCAGATGATCAAACTACTACGAGCTACAGGAGGAAATTCAAACCAAAGACAAAGAAGTTAAAAACTTTGAAAAAAATTTAGCTGAATGTATAACTAGAATAACCAATACAGAGTACAAGCCACTCTCTTCTGGCTTGTAGGGTTTCTGCCAAGAGATCCGCTGTTAGTCTGATGGGCTTCCCTTTGTGGGTAACCCGACCTTTCTCTCTGGCTGCCCTTAACATTATTTCCTTCAACTTTGGTGAATCTGATAATTATGTGTCTTGGAGTTGCTCTTCTCGAGGAGTATCTTTGGGGTGTTCTCTGTATTTCCTGAATCTGAATGTTGGCCTGCCTTGCTAGATTGGGGAAGTTCTCCTGGATAATATCCTGCAGAGTGTTTTCCAACTGGGTTCCATTCTCCCCGTCAGTTTCAGGTACACCAATCAGACGTAGATTTGGTCTTTTCACATAGTCCCATATTTCTTGGAGGCTTTGTTCGTTTCTTTTTATTCTTTTTTCTCTAAACTTCCCTTCTCGCTTCATTTCATTCATTTCATCTTCCATCACTGATAGCCTTTCTTCCAGTTGATCGCATCAGCTCCTGAGGTTTCTGCATTCTTCATGTAGTTCTCGAGCCTTGGCTTTCAGCTCCATCAGCTCCTTTAAGCACTTCTCTGTATTGGTTATTCTAGTTATACATTCAGCTAAATTTTTTTCAAAGTTTTTAACTTCTTTGTCTTTGGTTTGAATTTCCTCCTGTAGCTCGTAGTAGTTTGATCATCTGAAGCCTTCTTCTCTCAACTCATCAAAGTCATTCTCTGTCCAGCTTTGTTCCGTTACTGGTGAGGAACTGCGTTCCTTTGAAGGAGGAGAGGTGCTCTGCTTTTTAGAGTTTCCAGTTTTTCTGCTCTGTTTTTTCCCCATCTTTGTGGTTTTATCTACTTTTGGTCTTTGATGATGGTGATGTACAGATGGGTTCTTGGTGTGCATGTCCTTTCTGTTTGTTAGTTTTCCTTCTAACAGACAGGACCCTCAGCTGCAGGTCTGTTGGAGTTTGCTAGAGGTCCACTCCAGACCCTATTTGCCTGGGTATCAGCAGCGCTGGCTGCAGAACAGCGGATTTTCACGAACCGCGAATGCTGCTGTCTGATCGTTCCTCTGGAAGATTTGTCTCAGAGGAGTACCCGGCTGTGTGAGGTGTCAGTCTGCCCCTACTGGGTGGTGCCTCCCAGTTAGGCTGCTCGGGGGTCAGGAGTCAGGGACCCACTTGAGGAGGCAGTCTGCCCATTCTCAGATCTCAAGTTGCGTGCTGGGAGAACCACTGCTCTCTTCAAAGCTGTCAGACGGGGACATTTAAGTCTGCAGAGGTTACTGCTGTCTTTTTGTTTGTCTGTGCCCTGCCCCCAGAGATGGAGCCTACAGAGGCAGGCAGGCCTCCTTGTGCTGTGGTGGGCTCCACCCAGTTCGAGCTTCCCGACTGTTTTGTTTACCTAAGCAAGCCTGGGCAATGGTGGGCGCCCCTCCCCGAGCCTCGCTGTCACTTTCCAGTTTGATCTCAGACTGCTGGGCTAGAAATCAGCGAGACTCCATGGGCGTAGGACCCTCCGAGCCATGTGCGGGATATAATCTCCTGGTGCGCCGTATTTTAAGCCCGTCGGAAAAGTGCAGTATTAGGGTGGGAGTGACCCGATTTTCCAGGTGCCATCTCTCACCCCTTTCTTTGACTAGGAAAGGGAACTCCCTGACCCCTTGCGCTTCCCGAGTGAGGCAATGCCTCGTCCTGCTTCAGTTCACGCATGGTGCGCTGCACCCACTGTCCTGCGCCCACGGTCTGGCACTCCCTAGTGAGATGAACCCGGTACCTCAGATGGAAATGCAGAAATCACCTGTCTTCTGCGTCGCTCATGCTGGGAGCTGTAGACTGGAGCTGTTCCTATTCGGCCATCTTGGCTGCCCCCACATTACATGTATTTTATAAATCTTTAAAGTGACTTCACATACCTCACTTCTTATTTTCTTTAGTCATACTAATGGCTATGATTTATTACTGCAAAACATCCAAAGCTAAATCAGCAAAGAGAAAAGGCACATAAGGCAAAATCCAGAGGAAACAAGGTACAAACTTCCAAGAATCGTCTCCTGGTAGAGTCACACAAGATGTGCGTAATTGCTCCAGCAACAAATTATGACAACACATGTGAAAAGTTGTGTACCAGGGAAGCTCATTAGAGATTCAGAACCCAGGGTTCTTACTGGAGGCTTGTCACATAGCCACTTCCTACCTAGCACCTTACCAAGAATCCAGACTTCCAGAAGGAAAGCAAGTGTTCAGCAAAGACCACATTGTTTGCACAATCATTTTGGGCCCAATGAGCCATTCTTTGTCAGTTAGGGTTCCAGAAACCTTCCTGAAATCCAAATTCCCAGATGATAATCAAAGGCCAGCTTTGCAGGCAGGCTTTTCTAAGGATAGCCATCTCAGGCCTGCTCACCTCACTTCTTAATTGTCATTACAATCCAATGGAGTAGAGAGGTCCTGGGAGACCACTTATATTCCTCCATCTCCTTTAGCCTTTATCTAATCAATTGGCATATCCTGCCATTCGCCATCTTAACACTGTACTTCTAAACTGACACTCTTAACTACTTCTAGAGCCCATCATCTATTTCAATGGCCTAGGAAGTAAAATTAAGCATATATGCCTGAAGTGACAGCATAAAAAGATTGGCAGTGAGAGGTGAAATATTAAAATGACAAATAATTGTTATGGTTATTTACCTGCTTGCAAATGTAAAAGAATTCTTCTAGAAAAAGAAACACTATAATGTAAAAATGATCATCTTTATAATGTAACATTTTGTTAATATAGACAGAAATTAGGGGAAAGAAGAGGAAAAAGAGGAGAGAGGGAAAAGACTTGTTGGTAGTGGCAGTATAATAGAGCTAAAATTCTAACTTCAAATTAGTGAGTGAGGAAGGAAGAGGATAGAAGATTAAAATGAGACACTTCCAAATACTGCAGGTTCTATAAAATCTCAATAATTATATAAGAATAGCACTGGCACATGTAGATAGACATTTGAAAGGAATAGAACAAAACCCAGGAATAAAGGCAAGAATGTAAGAATTCAATCTGTGTTAAAGGTGGCACTTCAAATCAGTGAAAAAAGAATGTATTATTTTAAAAATGCTATTAGGAAAACTGATTAACCATTTTGAAAAAAATTAATGATGCCTATCCACAAAATAAGCATAAAAACAAATTTCTAGTGGTTAAAACACATATTATTGAAGAAGGATGATCTCTCAAATAAATAGGGTCAGGATAATTATCAATACGGGAAAAAAGGAAATTGGATTCATACCTAACTCCAAACGTAAAAGTTAACTCTAGACAGAATATAAACCTAAATGTGAAAGGAAAAACTCTAAGGCACATGAAAAAAAAAGGAGAATATATTTGTATCACCTAGGCTAGGTAAGGACTTTTTAAATAATATGTTAAAGGATAAACCATATAAAAAAAGATATATTTTCCTATACTAAAATTAAGAATGTTTTAAAATATTTTTAAAAAGACAAGCCAAAGAGTGGAAGAGTGACTTGCAATATGTAAATAACACCTACAAGTCAGTAAAAAAAGATTTTTTCAAAATAACAAAATGAGCATACACATAAATAGGCAATTCACAGATGAGGAATCATAGATGGCCAATGAAAAACGAAAACATATACAACCTAACTAGTAATAAGGAAAATGCTAACTAAAACCACAATATGATACCATATTATAGTATCCAGGCTAGCAAATATTAAACAGTAACGATAACACAAAGATTTGAGAAGGGTGTGAAACAACAGGAATAGCCATGTATGGGTGATCAGAATAAATCATACAACTACTTTGGGAAACAATTTGATATTACCCAGTAAAGCTGACCCAACAATTCTACTAATAAGTATAGATTCTAGAGCACCAGGAGGCATCTGAAGCCCAGGAGGCATGCCTAAGAATGTTCATTAGAATCTTATAGGCCAGGCGCAGTGGCTCACACCTATAATCCCAGCACTTGGGGAGGCTGAGGTGGATGGATCACGAGGTCAGGAGTTTGAGCCCAGCCTGACCAAGATGGTGAAACCCCGTCTCTACTAAAAATACAAAAATTAGCCGGGTGTTGTGGCACACACCTGTAATCCCAGCTACTCAGGAGGCTGAGGCAGGAGAATCACATGAACCCAGGAGGCGGAGCTTGCAGTGAGCCAAGATCGTGCCACTGCACTCCAGCCTGGGCAGCAGAGGGAGACTTCATCTCAAAAAAAATAAAGAATCTTATACTATAATAGCAAAAACATTAGAAAGCAAACCAACAATGTTCATCCACAGTAAAGTGGATAAATGCCATATAGAGGTAAAAATGAATTACTGCTAAACATATAAATGGATGTCGTACACAAAAAAGCAAATTCCAGAAGTAAAAAAAAAATGATAAAAGTAAAGGCAAGCAAAACCAAACAATATAATAAACATGTTATTTAGAAAAATATGCATATTTAGTAAACTATAATGAAAAGGAAAAGAACATTAAGACAAAATTCATACCTCTGAAAGACAGGGAGAAGGATGTGAACACATGTCAATTTTCTATGGTAGTGGTAAGATTGTTTCTTTCTTTTTTTTTTTCTTTTTTTGTTTGAGACAGAGTCTCTCTCTGCCACCCAGGCTGGAGCGCAGTGGCACGATCTCGGCTCACTGCAACCTCTGCCTCCCAGGTTCAAGCAATTCTCCTGCCTCGGCCTCCTGAGTAGCTGGGACTATAGGCGCCTGCCACCATGCCCGGCTAATTTTTTGTATTTTTAGTAGAGATGAGGTGTTAGCCAGGATGGTCTCGATCTTCCGACCTCATGATCCGCCTGCCTCGGCCTCCCAAAGTGCTAGGATTACAGGCGTGAGCCACCGTGCCTGGCCCACTTCTGTTTTCTTAGTTGCAAAGTGTGAACCTGATTAACTAGAGAAGGACTTTGTAATGCTTATGCTAAAATGAACACAATAAATAGCTGAACTCCAGTTTTGGTTTCAAGATGTATAAGCAACTAAGCAAAAATCACTATATCTGTTTTGAAAACCAACATATTCTTTTAAGTATTTCTTTTTTTGTAAAGGAATAATTTTATTTCTAATGTTAAACTTTCTAGTCAAACCATCTTCTCCTGAACCCAAACATGCATACTATTTCTTGCTTCTTTGTCTTTGCTTATATAATTTCTTCTGTTCTGAATACCCTTCTACACCCGGTTCCATTTATTCCCTTTAACTTCTACTCTTTTTTTCTTTTTTTTTTTTTTTTTTTTAGCTCTGCTAACTTATTTGAGATACATTTCAGGCATCACTTCCTCCACGAAACTTGCCCTGGATTTTCCACTTCACCCCCTAACTGGATTATGTACCACTTCTGCCCCCACTCCAGGTACGATGTGGAATCTAGCATAGTCCTTTATCATTGTTATCACTGAGTTGCTATGGGTAGGGTCATGTGTTCTTTGATTTTCACATCCCACGTGCCTAGCACAGTGCTGTTCAATAACTATTTGATGAAATGTTTAAGAATTTATTGGTTGAAGGTACTTTTTCTTTAACGTCTCTGAAAAAAAAATCACTTGGTTAGCAATCTTAGAACTGAACCATAAACTTTATTATAGATGGTTGGAGCTTGATACATACAGTTTTTGGCTGCAAAATATAAGTTACACTAACATGCTCAGAGGCCATCGTTAAGCATCAACGCTATATTTAGTCACATACATGATCTCACCTGCTTTGTTCTTCCCATATTCCCAGTCAAAATCCAGCCACATTTAAGTCTATTTAGTTTACTGATATACATTAGGCCATACAAAACAAAATGATGGATAGTATCCGTATCACTGGATTTATAATATAAAGTTTTTCTCATTTAGAAAGAGGCATACTCTTTTGATCATGTATATTCTATTTAGAAGTAATAGAGAACTTGGAACTAATGTATATTAGAACATTTGAATAAAGACAGGTAAAAATAAACAAATCTTTGCCAATATTCTTAATCTTAAAATTAAATGTTATGATTTATTACTTCCTTGATTTTAAAATTTATTACATAGTGAAATATATTCAATGGTATTTATGACAGAGTATATTTACAAATAGAAAATTCATTCAAATTTAATGATGCTTCAAGTACTGGAGCTACTATCTACACATTTCTTGTTAATAAGTACATACATTATATCAGTGTTACTGAAGTAGTAACAGCATTTCCACATCACAATAGCAGCAAAAATAAGTTCCCCTGAAAGTCTTAACCAGGTTTACCTGGACAATCTGTGCAATATACTACAATCTGAACTTACTTCTGTAAACAGAAAAATGAACCAGAGATTCCAGTATGAATCAAATAATTCCATCAAAGAAAACCTTGCTAAACAGACTTTTATTCAAGCCCTGAAAACATAGATGCATTAAATATAAGCCTTTCTTTTAAATAATTAGATATCTACTTTGGGGAATAAATATATAAGCTTTCAATTATTTCTTTAATGTGGGAAAATGCTAAAAATTATGTTATATACATGCTGGCAAAAGGGAGGCTGTGATTACTAGTGTGTGTGTGTGTTTGTGTATGTGTGTGTGTGTTCCCATGCACATGCATGTCTTTGTACAGGCACGGGAAGAGAGAGAGTCAAGAAAAGTTTTAACAAAGGAGGGGACATTAAGGTTAGGTATTAGATATAAGACAAGAACTTTCTAGATGATGTTTAGAATTTAACAGAATCTTGAAAAATCTCTGATAATACTGATGCTTCTTTATAATGTTCAACCTTTAAGTGTTTGAGTATTATGAAAGAAATATTTCCTTCCAAATGTCTTAAAAAACCATTATAAATTAAATGGGTAATTTTTCTGTGCTAATTTTTAGAATTATATTAACATATTAATTTAGAGAAACTGCTTGTTTTTGTTTGTTTGTTTTCCTAGAAGTAAGGGCCTGGAGAGATGAATCCAGAATATCCACTTCCAACCACCTACCTTTGACCAGTGAGAGAAGAGATGCCCCTTGCCTCGTGGGCTCTAGCTCTGGGCAAGTGGCATCTTGAGCAGGTACTGAACAAAGGACAGACAGACCATCCATGTTATATAGGGCAAGCAGAATCTGGGTATGAAGCCAAAGGAAACCCAGCAAGGACAAAAACTCCTCAGAAATAGGATGGAAATAGAGCCTGGCATAGCTGGTTGGATTTGATGGGGTCATTTCAGTGCCTTTTTTTTTAAAAGATGGAGTCTCATTCTGTCGCTCAGGCTGGAGTGCAGTGAGATAGTTTACTGTAGCCTCAAATTCCTGGGCCATCTTTCCACCTCAGCCTCCCGAGTAGCTGGGGCTACCGGCACATTACCATGCCCAACTAATTATCTATATATATATATTTATATATATTTAGAGAGGAGGGTATTGCTATTTTGCCCAGGCTGTTCTTGAGCTCCTGGCTTCAAGTGATCCTCCGGCCTCAGTCTTCTGAGTAGGTGGGATTACATGTGTGAGCCACTGCACCTGTCTGAGTGGCTTTTTTTATAGCATTACTCTAGCATCCTGAGTGTCCCCTGAACTACAGTGGAGAGAAGATTCACATTAAGGCTTTTTAAATATGGCATGTTTTATTACTAATCTTTCAAAAATGTTGAAATATCTTAGGTTAACAAGCAACTATTTGTTGCATAATTTTAGCTCAATGGTTGCTATTGCTATTCAAACTATTGACATAATTTAATATCACTTAAAATTATCCATTGAAAGAAATATGACACATATCTTCATAAATATATTTTTAAATATTTTCTTTAAAATTTTAAAATTTTTTGTTTTAGTTTTTTAGAGTCTTAAAAAAGTATTTATTTTCTCTAGTCACTAGATTCCACTGTATTGGTTTGCCCATAAGAATATCAGCTTGCCATATTTGTCAAAACAAAAAATGTATCGATCACCCTGTCATTTAACTAATATTTGGTGTACCCACTATGTGCCAGACACTGTAAGAGGATCTACCTAACAAATGTCAATAGTATCACAAGCAATTAAGAAAATGTAAAAAATCTAAACAGAAATAATGGTTTTTAATGAAAACTGCTAATCATTAACTTCATATTATATTTCCTAAAAGATAAAATGTAGGTGAAAATGTTTAATGAACTGTAAAACCTTATTAAAAGGTTAAGTGCAATTATTAATTATTACATTATTTCTCCTAAACAATGAGTGTTGTAAAATGAATATACCACAATGAATATATCATTTGGTGGAGGAGGTGAAAGCAAAAGAAGAAAATAATTAGTTAAGGGATATTAAATGGTTGTGACAGGTTTTAAATGCTCCTTATATGTTTGATTAGCTTCATTTGAACTAAAAGTAAAGGCAAAACAATTTTAAGTATCATTGATAAATACCACCACATTACTGGAAATTGAAGTATTTCAGTTTTCAGAATGTGTTAAAAACATCCAACAAACTAATTCCTTTTAAGTGCCAAATTTTGAAATGGTTTATATTATTCAACAAAACAATCATGCTACATAACCTTATGTAAAAAAATTCTTATAGAAACAATTTGCACAAAAATTGAGGTTCTCATTGCAATGATAAGTTGTATTTAGTACAGAAAATGTATATAGTCTCAAATTTTAAAATTCAATGTGGTTTATAACAATCTCTAAGTATTGAACTTTTATTACTAATGATATATCACTAGTTGTGAAGGACTTTCAATTTCCCATTGAAAAATAAAATTTTCCTAAAATCCTATAACATATGAATGATGTCAAAGTACATACTGTAATCTGCCTAATATTAGAGTTGCTTATGAATATCGTAGCCTCCCTGTTATATACTGTGAGCTCCTGGTAAAGAGGGATTCTGGCTTTTCTATCTCTATTTCTTACAGAGGGCCAGCACAATATTTTATAAATAGTACTCAGCTATTGAAATGAAATGTGAAGAGATCTGTTCCAACATGTGCTACTAAACAGGATACACATCTTCAGTTTCAAGACACATTTGATATCTTGATGTATCATCCTGGCTAATTTCTTTTTTTTTGAGACGGAGTCTCTCTGTCGCCCAGGCTGGAGTGCAGTGGCGCGATCTCGGCTCACTGCAAGCTCTGCGTCCCGGGTTCTCGCCATTCTCCTGCCTCAGCCTCCTGAGTAGCTGAGCCTACAGGTGCCTGCCACCATGCCTGGCTAATTTTTTGTATTTTTAATAGAGATGGGGTTTCACCTTGTTAGCCAGAACGGTCTCGATCTCCTGACCTTGTGATCCGCCCGCCTCGGCCTCCCAAAGTGCTGGGATTACAGCATGAGCCACCGCGCCCAGCCGATCCTGGATAATTTCATGTGAGTAGAAATTACATGCTTTATTCTTCTCCTTTTATCTTTAATATCTAGCACTTGTGACATGGTACATAATCGATGAAGGTATACTAAGACAATGTAACCTATAACTGGCATTGTACTTTTATCACACTACTAGTTATTTCAGGTATCTTGAAAGTACTAAAAGAAGTTTTAAAAGCAAAAAGCATACGGAAACAATTAGGACACTTGGGGCTAACATCTTTATTTAATCTGGCCATTTACTTCCTAGCTTTATCATCTATATTTATCATCTAAAGATCTACCTCTTCTTAATAATATGACATCCAGTACTGAAAGAATTCAAACCTGTTCTCAGTCTGCTTTGGGAAATAAAGGAACAAAACTGACTATAATGATGCATAAATAAGTAAATCAACATTTATGGAGGAGTCACTACTTGCCGAATAGTAGGCAGGTGATATTTATACAATTTGTGAGGTCAAATATGAGGTTAAAAGGTAGGAAAAACAATGAATGTCCACCTTATCGCTATGAGGGCTGCCCCATAAGGGCACTCAGTGTATACACAGCACAACTCCAGGGGTTGCTAGTAAGAATTATGTCCCCTTAAGAGTTATGCAACTAAAAGTATAATTAAGAGAAAAAACGTTGCTAAATAATCTATAATATGCTATTAATTCTTAAGATGCATCCCAAATTCAGAGATGTTAAAATGTGATAAAAGGTTTTAGGACCAATGAAAAAAGAGGATAATACAAGCAATCTTCAATTGGCCTTTCTTTGATGGCATCATTTTATCAGCAGTCTGTACAAGAATTTCTGAGGGAATTTTTTCACTCTCCTCTGTGAAGTCAAAATAAAGAACATTAGAAGTGAATGAAGTACCGTTAATGTCACAATTCAGATATAATGCACCAAGATTTTCAAATTTATATTCTTCCCCTTAGTTCTTAAAATTGATTATGGGAGGAACAGTGTTTTCAACTAACTTTTAGGTGCAAGCCTAAATTACTTATTGGGCACTTATACCTTTCCCTGCCTAATAAACATACACATATACACCCACACACACACAGAAACCCACATACACGCAGCTGCTGAGGAAAAGGCCAGAAGAGAGGCCACTTCAGAATATGAATGGAGAGAAAAAAACAGAGGGATGAACTGTGTGGGTCCAGTTATGAGAATTTTTTTCAACCAAAGCCAGATTGAAAAGTAGGCCATCTGTATATGCCGGTTTTGTATATGCAGGTTTTGCATATACAGACGGCCTACTTTACATATCCATGGTTCCACAGGACCAACTGTAAGACTTCCATATGCATGGACTGTGGTATATGCAGGGGTTCTGGAATCAGTTCCCTTCGTAAAGCAAGGGATGACTGTGTGTAATTTCTCTTAATCTCAGTTTCCTTATCTACATCTACAAATGAAATAGATGGGCTTTAAAAGTCTAAAAAATATCTACTAAGTTTTAGATATTATCTTTTGGAAACCTATTCTGGTAGAATCCTTCTATTAAAAATGTTCTTTCTTCCTAAACATATTCTTTATATAAAACAGTAAACAAACATGGCCTGAATGAATTGTACATACCCCTTTAATGTGAAAAAAAAATGCCTCATTGCTAAAAATTTAGAATAGCAACATTACAAAAACATGAGTTCCTCTTCTCAATAATAGCTAAACAGATTTTACTTTTAATAGATTTACTTATCAGTGTAAAATCTTAGTTCTAATGTTAAATTTGTATATAATGGTTCAAAGTCTGTGTTTTAAAAAAGTATTAATCTATTACATACCTCTGAAAGGTACTGATATTATTATTGCTATGACAGAACCAATATACTTTGGTTCAGATTCTAAAGGAAAAATAGTGACTGTTTATAACTGTCAAATTATTTTAAAGTTATTAAATATGATAGCATCCAAACTGATAGTTCTGTAATATTTCTTCTTATCACCTTATGGGAGAGAGGGGATTTTCTGAAATTTCACACAGAAATAACAATTATCAGACATTTAGGAAGTTACGTTTTATCTTATTTATTTATTTATTTACGGAGTCTCGCTCTGTCGCCAGGCTGGAGTGCAGTGATGCGATCTCAGCTCACTACAACCTCCGCCTCCCAGGTTCAAGCGATTCTCCTGCCTCAGCCTCCCGAGTAGCTGGGACTACAGGCGTGTGCCACCATGCCGAGCTAATTTTTGTATTTTGAGTAGAGACGGGGTTTCACCATGTTGGTCAGGATGGACTCGATCTCTTGACTTCGTGATCTGCCTGCCTCAGCCTCCCAAAGTGCTTTTAGAAAAGCAAATTCAGGTATAAGAATTATATTTAGGAGAACAAGAATTAAGGAAAGTCTTGGTTGATGACCATTTTGACTAATATTCAAGGGTAATTTTATCTTTGTTTTCATATGTTCCCTAAATGAGTCACTAATTATAATATATAATCTATTACTTTTCAAGGAAAAAAAAAACCTATTGTTTTCTTCTCATATTAAATTAATGAAAATATTACTGAGAATAAAATTAATATTACATAAGGTAGAACTGATAATGTTTTAAGCTGAAATGTCATGCTCCAAACAAATAAATCTAAGCATACAATTTCACATTTGCAAATACACATATGTAATTCAAATACAACTGAGATGCTGGGCATGGTGGCTCACACCTGTAATCTCAGCCCTTTGGGATGCCAAGGGAGGAGGATTGCTTGAGCCCAGGAGTTTGAGGCCAGCCTGGGGAATAGAGTGAGACTTCATCTATACAAAAAATAAAAAAAATTAGCCAGGTGTGGTGGCACATGCCTGTGGTCCCAGCTACTTGGGAGGCTGAGGTGGGAGCACCACTTGAGCCCAGAGGTCAAGGCTGCAGTGAACTGTGATCATGCCACTGCACTCCAGCCTGGGTGACAGGATGGGACACTATCTCAACAACAACAAGAAAAGAAATGAGATGAGTCTATTAGGGAAACACTCAAGTCACTCAGTAAACGTTACATTGCCATGCTATGTCACACATAAAGGATGCACACGGTAATGTTTACATCCATTGATAAAGCCACAGTGTGCATGCGTGAGTACTGAAACTGGCTAAACACCAAAGGATAGAAGAGTGAAGAGCAATATGCTGATTGGCTGACTACCAGGCAAAGTTACCTATAGACAAGCTGAAATCAGGGTGAGGATAAAAAAGATTCCCTATAGTAAACAAAGCACTTTTGGGTCAACTATATAAAACTCATTTAGGCTTTCCTTCATCTCCACCTACAAGGCTCACAAAACCCAGATGGACAGTTTGGGACTGAGGCAAAAATAATGTGCAAGGGCGTCTCACTTGAGGAGAAAAAAAATGTGGGTCCCAGATTCTAGAACCAATATATCTGCTCAATGCAACACCCTAACAATAGTCTTAGAATAAACTACTGTATAGAAGGAACTACTGCTTGTCTTTTATCATAGTGACTGCCTTACCAACCAAGGAAACTCTATTTCTTTAATCGCATTTCGACTGCCTTACCAAGAAAACTCCATTTATCTAGTCACATTTGTATACATATTTTATATTATAATATATACACAGATAACCACTTAGAGAAAATACTCACTATCGCAACCTGGTGTAGCGGGAAAAACACAGACTTTGCAGTCAGAATTGGGCTCAAATCTTGGTTTGGTTATTCTTATTAGCTGTATAACTATGAGTAAGTCTGTTTATGTCTCTAGGCCTCATTTTACATATCTGTAACATCAGAGTAATACACGAGACTAGCGTGATGATTACACAAACAACTACTGCTTCTAACCTGACAAGGGCCCCAGCAATGGGAAATGAGTTGGAGACAGAGGGCCTTAAGTTGCCCTTTCTTCCCAAGAAGTGGGTGAAGGTTGTGGGAGTAGAGAGAGGGGCTAATATGCATAACCAAATTCAAATTGAGGCACAGTCCATCTAATTGTATTTTACAGTTACTGTCCAATATTATCTTAGACAAAAAATGTTACCTTAGACAAAGGGAGCTCAATTTGAAGAATTAGGAAGAGCTTGGCCTCAGAAATAGTCATGGACAGAGGCAACTTGAATTGTAATTCAATTATAATAATAATTATAATTACAAGTGATGTTTACTGAGTGCATACTATGTGCTAAAGCAGGTACTAAGTACTTAATTGCATTACTTCTTTTAATTCTAACAACTCTATTTAGCAGATGATGGCCTGAAGCAACTGAAGATCCACAAAAGAAGTGAAAATAGCCTTAAATGATGACATTCCACCATTGTGATTTGTTTCTGCCCCACCCTAACTGATCAATGTACTTTGTAATCTCCCCCACCCTTAAGAGGGTTCTCTGTAATCTCCCCCACCATAAGAAGGTTCTTTGTAATTCTCCCCACCTTTGAGAATGTACTTTGTGAGATCCACCCCCTGCCCGCAAAACATTGCTCCTAACTCCACTGCCTATCCCAAAACCTGTAAGAACTAATGATAATCCCACCACCCTTTGCTGATTCTCTTTTCGGGCTCAGCCCGCCTGCGCCCAGGTGAAATAAACAGCCTTGTTGCTCACACAAAGCCTGTTTGGTGGTCTCTTCACATGGACGCGTGAGACAGCTAGAAAGCAGGCACAGACATCTGGGCTCTTTCAGCAAGAAGCCACCCATTCTAGAGAAAAAACGGAATGAAAGTTGTAGTTGCTAAAGCCTAAAATGGGCAAGTGATTCTCCACGGTCTTCTATTGTTGGAAGTGGATCAGTAGAAAACAAATTCTAATCCTCAAATTCCACCTGCTGGGTCACTATGGACTGACATTATCTTAGTTTCACCAAAGGGAGGAGGGAGGAAGGAGGGCAAACTGTTGGAGTAGTGTATATACAATGCTCCCTGAGTCCAGATCAAGAGTTTAAATGAGATAGATCCAAATGTCTCAATGAGGCAGTCCTACCCGATTCGATTTCTCTATTTCAGTTTACATCGCCGCTCATATTGAGTCACCTAATTTTGCATTACCTAACAGGCCAACTGAAATATGGTTTCTATTTTTATAAATAAATGTTAATAAACTGCTTTCTTTCATTGTTTCTCTGTTCAGCTCCAGAAAAGAGGCAAAAACCAGTGTTTTTAGACATGTGGTCCACAAACCTCTGGAGATTCCTGAGATTCTTTCAGGGGACCTGCAAGGTCTCTATTTCATTATAGTATTAAGACATTGTCTATTTCACTGTATTGACATTTGCATTAATCATTAAAAACGCAATGAAGAATAAAACTGCCTGTGACTTAGCACCTACGAAGGCAGTGATACCAAACTATACTAGTAGTCATAGTCTTTACTGCCACATAAGGGGGGGTGGAAGTGGAGGTTGGAGGGAAGCCAACTACACATAAATGTCAATGAAGAGTAAAATTTACCTCTGTTAAATCTCAATCCATGAGTATATATCTGTTTAATATTATGAGTGATGAAATGAAGGTATACATAAAGCACTTGCATACCAAACTATGCTATGATGACAGTCTGGAGGAAAAGCAGTTGTGCACTTGATTGCGTTTAGAGCTAAAGTAGTTAACTTTCTAATGGAATAGCATTTGTACTTGTAAGACTGATAGACAAATTATGATTATTCGGATTTGGGTAATTTGGAAGGTATTTTCTTGTAAATGAACAAAGTAAGCCTGACAATCCCATTCAAGAAAAACAACTGATGGTATTTGTGGTCAATGATACAAACTGAGCTTTCTTGTTAAAGTTGGAATTTTGGGAAACTTTTATCATCACTGATAACTTTGAGAGTTTTTTAATTCTTAAAGCTTTTCTGATGATACTGGTGGAAATATTAATGGGTAGGATTTTTTTATACTGTGTAATAAGATGTGTCAACATTTACAAGATTTATGTAACTAAGTGAAACAATATTTTCCAAATGACCAATGTATGATGTTACAAAATCATATATGGGTAAAAGATCCATTCAAAGTACAAGACAGACCAATGGATTTTTATGAGTATAAAATGTGTTCTAGACTCCATACTGCAACTAAACTTTAAGAAATAACTTCCTTTTTAGTGTGGGTATAGCATCAAAGAAGAATATACAAAATTATCTGAAAAAGCTATTAAAATAGACCTTTCTTTTACAATTGCATATCTGTTTGAGGCCGAGTTTTCCTCAAAAACATCAATGAAGACAACATATTATAAGAGAGGAAATATAGAAGCAAGTATAAGAATTCAGCTGCCTTCTATTAAGCCAGACATTAGATTTTCAAAAATGCCATATTTTTCATTGTGTCTTTCATTTTAAAAATACAGTTATTTCTCATAAAATGCTATTTATGTCATCATAGGTTTATTGTTATTTAAAAATAAATATTTTAAAATGTTCTCATTTTTAATTCCTTTCAATAGTAAACATCAATAGATATAACCCATATAAACAAAAACCCCACAGTGACCTTAATAAAGTTAAACATAAGCCAATGGGAAAAGACCTTACTCTGCCATAATTCTTCCCATGTTTCCTATGGGAAAGGAGGAAGGGAGGGATGAGAAAGGAATTTTTTCTTTTTTTTTTTTTTTTTGAGTCGGAGTCTCGGTCTATCGCCCAGGCTGGAGTGCAGTGGCGTGACCTCGGCTCACTGCAACCTCTGCCTCCCCGGTTCAAGCAATTCTCTTGCCTCAGCCTCCAGAGTAGCCGGGACTACAGGCGCGCACCACCATGCCCGGCTATTTTTGTATTTTTAGTAGAGACGGTGTTTCACCATGTTGGCCACGCTGGTCTTGAAATCCTGACTTCAAGTGATCCGCCTGCCTCGGCCTCCCAAATTGCTGGAATTACAGGCACGAGCCACTGTGCCCGGTCCCACTGGTTGTTTTCATACACATTAATTTACATCATTTATTCCTTATAAAAGTCTAACAGATATGATTATCCCTAATTTATAGATGTAGGAACTGAAACAGTGATTTTTGCCTAAAGTCACAGTTGGTAAGCAAAAAAATTAAGATTACAGTATGTATTTGATTCTGAAGTGCTTATTCTTTTTACCATATCATATTTATGACAGACCCCCACCACCCTAACTGGTCAGTGTCCAACAAAAACTCATAAATGCAGAGCTTCGGTCTTTATCATAATTTTTGTTTGAAATCCAAAGGTCTAATTCTTGAACTGATTTCTATTTCTTCATTATTGGCTTGTTTTACCAAATCCAAAGAAGGCTGGGTACACTTAATAACGGCTGATAATTGGCCAGGCGCGGTGGCTGATGCCTGTAATCCCAGCACTTTGGGAGGCTGAGGCGGGCGGATCACAAGGTCATGAGATCGAGACCATCCTGGCTAACACAGTGATACCCCGTCTCTACTAAAAATACAAAAAATTAGCCAGGCACGGTGGCAGGTGCCTGTAGTCCCAGCTACCCAGGAGGCTGAAGCAGGAGAATGGCGTGAACCCGGGAGGCAGAGTTTGCAGTGAGCCGAGATCGCGCCACTGCACTCCAGCCTGGGCAATAGAATGAGACTCTGTCTCAAAAAAAAAAGAAAGAAAAAAAATAATGGCTGATAACTGAGCTTCCAACACAATGTACTAATTTTCCAGTGTCAGCACACTTCAGTATAATATTCAAGAGTTCTTGCAATCTCATGCTACTCAACATCAAAGGGTAGATTTATACAAATAGGCAAAGGCCTGTCTTCATAGGTTCATGTAAACAAATAATATTCATTAATCAAACCTTTATTTTAAAAATCTCCTGTGCGTCAGGTGTGGTGGCATGCACCTGTAGTCCCAGCTACTTGGAAGGCTGAGGCAGGAGGATTGCTTGAGGCCAGGAGTTCTACACTACAGTGAGTTATGATGTCATCACTGCATTCTAGCCTGCGTGACAGAGTAAGACCCTGTCTCAAAAAAAAAAGGGGGGGGGGAAAGAAAGGAAAGGAAAGGAAAGGAAAGGAAAGGAAAGGAAAGGAAAGGAAAGGAAAGGAAAGGAAAGGAAAGGAAGGGGAAGGGGAAGGGGAAGGGGAAAGGAAAGGGGAAGGGAGGAAAGGAAAGGGAAAGGAAAGGAAAAGGAAAAGGGGAAAGGGAAAGGAGAAAAAAAATCTACTGTGTTTACTAGGTTTTGGAAATATAAAACATGACAATGTAAAGGTTAATTTCTGGTAATTAAAACAGAATTATGGCCCTTTAAAGGCTTTAAAATTAATCAGGCTTGATCACAGTTTCCCTTTTAAATGAAAACTCTAAAATGAAGAAACAGGTATGCTTTGGTGAACAGTTAATGATTATATTTTAAGACTGCCTTATTGAATTGTTAGAAAATGCATATAATAGTGACCTTGTCAGGTGGGAGCCACTCCTCTCCTGGCCTCATATGGAGGCACTTCAGCTAGAGTTAACATTCTTAGTTTCTCTCCCCATATCCCATTCTTTCTTTCCCTCAGGAAGAGTGTGACTTATCTGATTAGCACATTTAGGAAAAGAAACTGAACATGCTCAGCTCAGCTCTTCAGGGCATCTTCCAAATAGGTTGCAGAAAGGATGAATTCTACTTTACTTTCTACCACATGAAAGGCAAAGGGAATGTTTGCAGGATAAGGGGAAAATTCATTTTCGGGGGAATATATCTGGAAGTCCATTAGCTACAGATCTAAAACAAATTTTCCAGTTGAACTGTATCAATTTTTAATGATGGTGTTTTGTTTCCTTTTGTCTGATTCCTATGTAATATTGCTGAGTTCCAAACTGCAGAGTGTAGCACTGAGGTATTATTTTGGAACAATGTTGTACTGTAATACGAAAACATATTTGGTCTTTGTCCCTGGTTCCTGGAACAGAGCTCCTAAAAGGCTTGAAAGCTCATGAGTCATAGAGTGTCTTTTGTTATTCATAACAATCCCCTGAAAAAAATCCATCACTGAGTTTATGCTAATGAGGTGACTTAGACTGGGGCCTTTAGATAGCCTTAGGATGGGACTGGTCACCAGAAAGACCCAGTGATTAGAGGGTACTTTCAGCCTCACCCACTGGTGTCCAGGAAGGGGAGAGCTTCCAGGTTAGTAAACACACTGATGTGCAGCTGGGAGGGTGGCATGCTGACAGAGGGGACAGAAGCTCAGTATGCCCTTTCCCATCCATATACCTTGCTCTATGCATTTCTTCCATTTGATTGTCCCTAAGTTGCATCCTTTATAATAAACTGGTAAACATAAGTATTTTCCTGAGCTCTGTGAGTCATTCTAGCAAGTTATTGAAACTGAGGAGGTGGTAACAGGAACCCCTAATCTACATTCAGTTGGTCAGAAGTATGAGTGGCTCCTCCAGGACTTGTGACTGGTGTCTGAAACAGGGGCAGTCTTGTGAAACTGAACTCTTTAGGCAGATAATGTTAGAACTGAATTGAACTACTGGACACCCAACAGAAATTGCAGAATTGGTTGGCATCAGAGAAAACACCCCAGAAAGATACTGAAAGGTACAAGGGCCAGGGACCTTAAGAATTGGATTAGTTCTCAATTGAGTCTCAACTTGAGAAATGATGTTATTTATTAGCCCTAAAGCCCCAAGACTGTGTGCCAGATGCTATGTTTGCTTTACACATATTATTATTACTTAGAGATGAAGTCTTGCTATATCAGGTTTGAGTTTTGCTAGACTCAAACTCCTAGGCTCAAGAGATGCTCCCACCTCAGCCTCCTGAGTAGCTGGGACTATAGCCATATGCTAAGGCACCTGGCTACATATATTATCATCATTCTACTTTTCAGACAAAAACTCAAGTGCAGGGGTGTTAACTTGAGGTCACACTATATTAAATGGAAGAGCTGGAATTCAAACTCAGGTCTATCGGACTGCTTTTTTTTTTTGAGACGGAGTCTCACTCTGTCGCCCAGGGTGGAGCACAGTGGCGTGATCTCGGCTGGCTGCAACCTCTGCCTCCTGGGTTCAAGTGATTCTCCTGCCTCATCCTCCCAAGTAGCTGGGATTACAGGTGCCCACCACCATGCCTGGCTAATTTTTGTATTTTTAGTAGTGACAGGGTTTCACCATGTTGGCCAGGCTGGTCTCGAACTCCTGACCTCAGGCAATCTGCCCATTTGGCCTCCCAAAGTGCTGGGATTACAGGCGTGAGCCACTGCAACCCAGCCTCGGACTGCATTTTTAACCTCATCTCCATACTATATCTCTACAATGGTATGATTCTGAATGTTATTCATACACTAAAACAGGAAATAAAAAGTTATTATTCACAATTTGCCTTCAATGACTACAAGCTTTAAGTTGATGTAGAGAAATATAAATGCCTTGGAATGTATTATAGAAAACATTTACAATAATACATTTTTATGCTGATTATTAAGATACTAACTAAGCCTCTTTTTCTTCTTTCCAGCTATATTTTAAAAGATCTGGGGGCAAAAAAAAAAAAAGAGACTAAAGATAGAGTTAATTGGGGTACACAAGTTTCTAAGGGAAGCAAAATCCGATATGAACAGCAGCAGCCCCTTGTGGTCTAAGGGGAAAAGCAGTGTATCTGTAGTTATGGGGGGTGAAAATATGTTTTTTAAAAGAATATATGTACATATTTAGCCATTTGACTTAGTTCTCAACCCAACACATTAAAAAACAGATGCTTTAAAAAATAATCTGTTGCCAAGAAGCTTGTTAAAATTTTATCAGTTGAGATATTAAAATTCATTATGAATTAATTAACACATTATACAAAAATAAAATGTTTTTGTTTCATCGTTTTACAAAGTACTATAACCAGTGGTGATTAACACTGGGAATTTTGTGTGTCTTGGTATGTCTTGCTCAAAAAGAAACTAAATTTATAGGATTACCACTAAATTGATGACATTTTCTGTTTTCACTCTTGAATTCTGTTGGCAGATGTTTTTGAGAACAAAAAATTCCATCTTATTACAAAACATATTAAGCAGGTTTTCCTGCCAGGCAAGTCTGACATGATGTGTATTGCCTAGACCAAATCAATCCCCTTAATAAACCATAATATATGCTAGCAAGTACACTATTTCATAGTTAAGAAAACTTGCCACATGAAATAGTAAGTTCTTTGATCTCTCATGCTCTGCTCCTAATGTCTCAGAAAAGTGCTACATAATCTACCAGTCATATCTATTTATACTCAGCAAGTAAAATAAAATTATACTTTGCTAATCTTAAAGTTTTAGGCCCAAATTTACTTTTGCCTGTGTATACTAGATACTTGCAAAAATTTGAAAGGAGACTGGCTATTTACAAGATACTAGAGAAAAGAAAATCCAAATACTTGAATATACTTGGAAAATAAAATAGTTTCAGAAATTAAACAATCATTGTTTGTAATACAAATAAATTGAACTTGGTTGCTAAAATACTAGATAGAAATGACTTCAATGGCATTTGCACAGAAGAGATTCAGAACTGTGAACATACCCCAGTCAGAACATCAAAAACATATTTTTGGAAAGAAAGCTTTAGTTTATCAGAGTTGGCTGTTTCTAAACTATTGCAAAAATTCACATGAATGCTGAAAAAAATCAATCAGAAAACTAGGCAACACCAACTATCTTACATATTAAAGAATAAGATTTTTGACGGATGTCAACAAATAATTGATAAATATTTAAGCATCTCTATGTGCAATTCCAGGCTTTGCTAAGATTTCTATTCTGTAAATGTTTCTTTAACATTTGGACTTTTCGTTTTGTGTCCATGTAATTCTCTTCCCCTCTATCCTTAGCATCTGTTTTTGCTTTCTTTCAGAGGCTGGGTCTAATTCTTCTCCTTTACTTCCCATCAGTAGAGTCTACAAATAAGTCTCACTTTAGGAAAGAGATGTTCAAGCACTTCCAACCCAACATTAGACAGATCAGCATCAAGTCACTTTTGCCTATACTCTACACATAGTCTCTAAAATTCTATTAACTGACCTTCCTTGATTTAGTTGTCCTCTTATGCTCCAGTTTGATAACAGAATAACCTTCATTCCTATGCTGCAGGTTCCTTTATCTAGGTATCACTTAGGCCTAATCTTGTTGTTTTGTTCTCCATCCAAGGGATTAAATTCTAGTATCAGTTCCTGACTCCCTCATAATATGCTCTGTACTAATGCAAAAAGCAGCACATATCTGCTTTTAAGGATTGACATGCAATGCCAAAACATATAAAGCACGCTCAAAGATCTAAAGGATTATGGGGAGATCTAGTGGAGAGGCATGAAAATAATTGGTAATATTAATTAAATTATTAGACAAAAATACAAGAGACATATCAAGACAGTACCTGGTAAATTCCATGTAAATTAGCTAATCATTATACATTCCATGAGTCTCAGTAAGGAGGGGTCATCGGTTATAGTGAGAGGAAGAGGTGGCATTTCAGCTAGGCACTTATAACGTGGGTTGTAAGTGGATAGAATTTTGGATTCAGGAAAGAACAGAAATTGAAGTTACAGATTCCATAAAGCACAAAGTTTGTACAGGGTAGAGTAACCCCAGCAGCCTGGCTGTACTCTTAAGAGCAAATGTGTAACACAGAAATTGCAATGGGTCAGGTTGAAACATTTCCATTTTCATCCATAATTTTAGCAGTATAATGACATAGCTCAAAAGGAAAATAGGATATTCTACTTTTATATATTCAGATGAAAATATATAGTTCAAGGTATCAAATAATGACCTTATACCATTAATTTTTGGATTGTAATCTCAGCTACTGGATTGAGTGGGAAGTCAACAATTGTAGTGCTGTTTGACTTTTTGTTTTGGTTTGTTGGAATGTTTCCTCATAGAAAATCAAGCTGTATACTTTAATAATGCAGGACATATTTTAAAAAGTGGTAGTTGTAGTGAGGGGTTTTAATCCTGGCTCTACCACCTTATTTAAAATTTATTGTGAAAGATCTGCTCTACAAATATTTATTATGAAGGCTCTGTTGTAGGCTCTGGGATACAGTAGCGAGCAAAACAGACTAAGTACATGCCCTCATGAAGCTTATATTAAGAGCTATGTGACCTTTGAAAAATTACTCAAAGGGGTGTGTGTGTGTGTGTTTATGGTACAAACAGGCTTTATTAGTTGCAATGGAAAGTGGCAGAGGGGAGGATATGATAGCTCCTGCTCCTGGGGCAGGGTCCTCAGACTGAGTTTCCACCCTCCAAAAGCTAAAAATTTTTGACCCACAATCTGATCTGTAAATTTGGATCAGTATTAGTCATACTATTTGTAGAGAATATATAAATATATATACATATTTATAGAAATACTTACATTTATACATATAAATTGTTTATAAACATTTAAGAAACAGAGTCCATTAAATAATAGCTGATCAAAAATCTATCTTTGTCATCAAATGTTGTTTACTATATTGTATCATACATTTACTACACATGGCTTAATTTTCAAATTTCAGATACATATTTTGTTTTCAATCTACAGAACAATGTGGTAAAGAAGAAAGAGGGGAAGAATCTACAGTAATTACTAGTCCTGGTTTCAACAAGTAGATTTATTATCTACCATTTACTAGCTTTGTGATCCTAGACTAACATTTGTGCATCAGTTTCCAACTATAAAATCAGGACAAAATGATGTGATTCATCTACCTATTAGGCTGTCACAAAGAATAGAAGATAATTTCAAATTGTAAATTGGTAAGAAGTATATAAATAAAAGTTAGTTTAGTTCCATCATATAAAATGCTCTGTGTCTGAAAATTACAAACACTTGGTATTGGGAGATAAGTAGAGAGAAGAAGAGCACTAGCAGAAGTCATTTCCAGAATGGATCAAAATTACTAAGGAATTAATACACCTCACACAAAATGAACCGTTCTTCTCTTTCCCACTACAAGGCCAAAACTTACTATCTAGAAGTATGTTTGAAGAGTGTCAGCACATCTCTGCTATTTTGCAAAATTCCAGAAGATTTTAAGAGAAATGATGTTTACTAAGAAAAAACATTTCATAACTAAGACCATCGATACAAAGTTGTATTATGTGTTTGGGCCTATTTTTGTCTTTTGGTGCTTTTGTTGGGAACTTGAATTGATGAGTGAAATGGGACAAAGAGGCAAAAAGACTTAGAAAAGAGGGAAAAATGACAGGAGTCTAAAAGAGAGAAAATAATTAAAAAGAAAACAAAAGGAAAGAGAGCAGGTCTTAACAATGAAGCAACATAAAAAGAATGTTGTTTCCTTGGTATAAGAAAAAATAGATGAGAGGAAAAACAAAGCAGATGTGAAAAACAGAATAAAGAAAATGCATGCATAAAGAGAACAAAAGAAAAAAAGCAAAGCAATGGTGACAAGATAAAGACAAAATAGGAAGAAATAAACTTACGGGACAGATGTCTGATATCTGAGATAGATGCTTAATCTGTACATGTCACAGGCAAAAAAAAATTGTTTAAGAAGAAATAAACCTAATATACAATATCATTTTGTTTGCATTTTACATAAACAAGTAGGTATTCCTTATAATTTTATATTTCAAAAGCCTTATATAATTCATTTCTGGAATCTGGATATCAGAGGTAATCTTTTAAAAATTTTAACCTGTCATAAGATGGTGGTTTACAGACTGGATCATATAGAAGGAAGCTTAGTACAACTGATAGAGAAGATGGTAACATCATGACCCCGATGTAATCATATGAAAGAAAGGGGGTGATATAACCGCATTGGAACAAACAAGCTACTTATTGCTTCTAAATATAATAAGCGTTCTTGCTTTTCAAATAATATATTAAATAGTGAGATGCTTTCTAAAAATTTAAATATTATAATCTGCTTGATTCACTATATGAGCTGCTTTGAGAATTCCTTGTCAGGATACATTTTTGGGGTCTTGGGAATATATATGCTGTTTTCACCACTGCTTAACTGTCATAGCTTACTCAATAGACTGACCTATAAATAAAATATTTTGAATGTTTAAAGCACAATTCCAAAAAGTAGAGTGATTATGCCATGAACTAGAATAATACAGAAAATAAAAACTTAGAAAGCAATATATTTCCCCTAAAAGGTAGTATGAAACATTTTATTAATGATCTTCTAAAGTAAATGTAAAAATAGTTCAAGTTGAATAATTTGAAATGTTACTACTATCCTATTGTATAATTTATAAAACGTTATTTTCTCTGTGTTTAAATGTTCTGAATTGCTCACTTTTGAGGACTATTTCAATATACTATTTTTCTTAACCCGTAGCATTTTCGACATGCTTTACTATTAAACTTCTAGCATCCATAATAAGGGCTTTGAAAATTGACAAATGTCTCATATATATAATTTATAGTATGCATGTCAACATTCTGAATATGTCCAAGTGTAAACAAAATTGTTTGTGCCCCCTACAGAATTAGAAATCCTTGGGCAACACTGCTCTAATGATCCCATACCGTTAGTACTACAAAGTGTAAAAGTTCGCTGGGTAGGACAAGAGAAAAGGACAGAGTTCCCTCATTACACTATCCCTACACTATTTTGGCTTAAGTATTTATTAAGATATTAATTACTCTTCCTCCCTCTATCTGCCTTTAGACATTAGGCTGAGACACTGTAGATAGTTGCTCATCGTAAAACAATGCATTATCCAGTAAACCTTACCCCCCAAGATGAATGTTTTGTATGGAGCATTATTAATTCAGCAGGTGATATGTCTTAGAATTGTGAGGCTACATATACTCTCTCTTATGGACAACATAACGGCATGTTATGCTGATGCTATGTTTCCTTAAAGAAACAGCGTGTTTGGAAACTGAATTGGCAAGTTTTCTGCCTTCTGCATCCATCACAATAAAATTATTTTAGAAAATTTTTCTTGAGGTAGTATATGACACAAAAGGAAACAGAATTTGCATTTGTGACTTCTATAAAATGTCACACTGAAATAAGAATGATGCGTTTTGTAATTCTGAATTTAAAAACCCATTTAATCCAAGTAGACGACTATGGGAAATAAATGATGACAAATAAAAAAATTAATATTCTTGAAGAAAAACAAAACAATCTACATATAATAAAATATATACAAGGTAAAGAAAATAGTAAAGGAAAGTAGTGATCTCACTCACTCTGATATACAATTGCATCATTTCTTTTTCTCTTTGGGGGTTACGATACTTCTCATAGAAATCACGTCGCTTCTTTGTTTCTTTAGAAACTTTATCTTTTCTTTCCCGTTTTTCTGCTGGTTCATCTGAACTATCAGATGATGACTGTACGTGTATCTTCGGCTTTTCTACTTCAATATAGTTTTCATTGGGATTTAGTACTATTACTCCATATCCTTCCTGTTTTGAAATGAAAGAAGGTAGCATAATTTAAATCTTATAATCCATTTCAATTTTCAAAAAAGTTCTTAAAATTTCAGTCTAAGCAATTTTTATATAGTTGCATATTCATTAAAATACTCCTTTAGGCAAGATAATGATTTTATTTTTTTCAAAAGAAAGTCATTTAAAATTGTTTGCCTTTATTGTGTATATAAATAAGCTTTTATTATTTATAAGAACAAAAAATATAATTGCAACATAAAGATTATAAAGCTTAAATTAAAAAACTAATTCAGATATCTCAGAACCCAAAAATGACTGAAATAAATTAGCAAATAATTTATTTTCAAGTAAACTTTCAAATTATATTAATATTTATACTATCTGTTTTGAGAAAACAACCTCTGAAATCAAAGTTTACAATTCAAACTACATTTTTTTGTATATTTTTCTTTACAATGGCCCTTTCAAGAGCATTTTTTATTTGTCTGAACAATTAAAAAGAATAAGCAGTTAAAAAAGAATAAATCTGATTTAACATTACAAAACCATCCATACCTACATTATTATAAAGACATAACATCTACTTGTGTACCTTGAATTTTATTCACTTTGTTTCTCACAGGAGGCCAGAAAAATCATGTAGCAAAATAAGCCACTGTCTTACTATAATGTATGGAAGCAAGTCTTTAATCTTAAAATTTCTTTCATTTTTCAACCTACCATAAAAATTCTCTTTATTAAAAACTATAATCAGGAAATAAGCAAGGTTCCAAAGTTAAAAAATACAGCTTGTTGAGCTATTAAGGCTTTTTTTTTTTTAAATTTGTAAAACATGTTTTCCTGTCTCATTTCTTTCTAGCCTGGCAAACATTTCTGTGGTTATAATTAAGAAAACGTTTGATATTTATATTATGTCTAATGGAATAAGCTAACCATGAGAAAATATAGAGAGGGATAAACAATAACCATTGACAAGCATGGGTAACACAAATTTTTGAAGCTATTATATATCTTGTCTTTTCTATTCAGTTATGTGTTGTGAGGTTCCAATTATGTCCTTGTAAAATACTATAAGGTCATATTTAAAAGATGTATGATATTATAATAAAAACATAAGAGCTACAGAAAATAGCTCACAAAATCTATTTATTAGAAAATCTATTTAATAGAAAATAAAACTTATAAAATCTCATCCTTACTTAAAATAGGTAGTATATATAGTTTTTCAAGACAGTAACTGTAGAATCTTCTACTTGAAGTTTAAATTTTAAATTTTTTGCCAAACCAACCATAAGATGATTTTAAAAAATTGACAGCAGTAATAGTAAACCAGTAATAGCACAGACTCAATTATCTTATTTTAAAATATGCTGCATTACTGCACATGGTTGGTTTTTTTAAACAGTTGATTTCACAAACTACTTACAAACTTCTTTGGAATTGTTTTCTATTTTTTCCTCCATCAGATGATATTATTGTCTAAAACGATTATTTAGTTTGGAAATTTTCAAGATCACTGAAGTTCTGATTTTAATGATAGGACTATTAATTAAGATACAGTCATCTTACATATATGGAAACTATATAATAATATATAGCAAACTGATTTACAAACCACCACCCATTCTTCAACAGATGTTCAAATAAAGCTTTTAGAATAATGCTTCTTTCACAAAAAGCTTATAAAACACTTTACACATTCTGTAATTTAAACTTTCTACATCAAAGCAAAAGAGAATTTTTTTTAAAGTTTCTTAGCTCTAAGTCAAAAGTTTTACCAACAAAAGATATTTTATTTGGTCCTGCTTTATTCTAATCTGTATAGCTATTCAAAAGTCTTGTAATTCATTGTGATCACTGTCAGGTAGACAGATTGTCACTTGGTGATTTTCTACAGTTGGACACACTTGACTAGTTATTAAAATCACATTTGAAGGAAGTTCCTACCCCTCTTCCTTGTGCCTCTTACAACTTTTCACGCCCTTCTCAAATTTCAGCTATAACTTCTCCTCCCACCAAAAGTAAGTTAAAGAACACTGTTGCACTCTGCTAAACAGGGTGAAATAGAGGCATTCAGTACACTGTCTCTGGTGTAAGGAACATAGTCAAAAAAGGTCACCATAGGCCAAAAAGAAAATTGCCTCCCTACTAGATTCTGTACCGTGAGTAAGTGGTCTCCTGTCATGTTTCTTCCTTGCCTTCTCTGAGTGAATTGAACTTTAAACACACATACACACATACACATACACATACACACACACACACACACACACACACACACACACACACACACCACCCTCTCATACTCAGGAGTTAAAATTAGCAAGACCAAAATAGAATCTTAAAATTAGTAGAGATGAAAATAGTGATATACTACATTTTAATGATAATATGAAAAATTTCAAATTCAAAAACTTCACTCAAGGTAAAAGAGTGGGACTTTAATAAGCTGAAATAACATGGCATCATCTTTGTATAATGAATAAATCTCAAATAAAGGTAAACTCTTTGAACAAAATTTACAGTCACCAGAATTGTAAGACTATTATCTTATTACTTAATCAAAAAAATAATATTTTCATATCTGGCTTATTTGAGCAGAACTTTAAACTTCAATTTTTAGAAATCATAGATTGAAAAATTATCGTGCCTACTTAATTTGAAATAAGACTCTGAAATTTGATATGTTCCATGTAAATAAGTATTTTAAAAAAGGCATTTATATATCATCAAAGAAGCAGTATTTGTCTAAGTAACTGAAAATTACATGACTCATCTGTTCAATATCATAAAGGCACAATGTCAATGTTTCCCTTAGGCATCAACAGATGAGAAATGATTCTATTTTTAAATCACCACTATATAAATCAATTGAAGATTTGTTATCATTTAGATTTCAACAATGGATGCTTCTATTTAAACACCCAAACTATTTAGAAAATATTTTATCCTTTAGATATTTCAGATTGCCAATTTAATTAATGTGACAACAATCAAGAAATACTCAGGAACATTCTCTGTAGAAATGAGAGTGGATTTTAATAAATATCTTTGTTGCAAATTCAATTACTGTTCTGTAAAAAAACTAACATTTAAAATTAAAATATTTCTGTTAAATTAATTAATGCAATATTCACAGAGATCATTCATAACCATTTTGTAATGAGTAGCAGAAAGCAGGAGTAAGAAAATAAAGTTAACTATCCCACCTATGTGCTCTAACCACAGATATATAGTAAAACTTAATGTTTCCCTTCTTTTCTCTGTCATATGTAACACTGGCAAAAATTTCCTTTATATAAGCTACCAAGATTTTTGCCATGTCAACATCAATATATGGAAACTAAAGAGTCAAAGAAAATAGAGTAAAACAAAGCAAAGACAAAATGTCACTAGTTAAATTTTACTGTTTTAAATTGAATAATATCAACTTCCTCAAAAATCAGACTAAATACCATTTAAAAAAGTGATTCTTTCCATTCCCAGTAACTCAATCAGTACACAACAAAATTAGTAAGAAGAGATGCTAGTGTGACCTTTCATGAATGTACCCATAAAGTTTTATGAAACTACACTATAATATCAGGCATCAAGTATAATATCTTAAAAGAACTGTGGGTTGCTACTCTACTAAGGAAGGCTCCATAACTTATGCTTAGACTCTTAAACATTTTATGTTGAAGTACTTCTTTTATATTTAATTATTCCTTAAGTATGCTACATTTCTTATACGATAAAAAGTTAGGTCACTTCAAATATACATCGAAACCCTTTCTCTTATCTTTGAAAAGATAAAATGATCAAATCAATTATCTAGCATTCTACAACTAAATAAATAAAACTTCTGGCATCCTTTATAATGATTTACCAAATCAATTCCAATATCCAACATTTCAAAAGACAAAGCATACATAAAGTTGTTAATTAACTCATGTTTGATCACAGTCTAGTAGAAATTAAGGTGATCAAGAGGATATATATTGGTAAAAGTAAGCTTTATATCTTTAATTCATCTCATTCCATTTTTATACTTTTGTTGCTATAATTCTACTTTCATTTTCAGACCTGTGTTTACAAGGTATTAACTATGGGATCTTAATCAGAAACCCTTAAAAGTTCATTCCTAGACATAGCATTTTATTCAGCAAAAGTACTTGTGATTTAAATAGAATACACAGGTCTTTAGGCCTTCTTTACTTTGAAGTCTGTAGATGCACTTACTAATAAATAATAAATCATTTATCATTCAACCAACAAATGATGGCTTAGGTCAGAGAGATCTAAAACAAACAGGTGATGACAAACACAAAGAACCAAAAAGGAAAACTTTGATAGACAAATTATATCAGTACAAAAACGCACTTATCAAGAAGATTCTGTAAATAGATAAAACATTAAAATGCACGACCAAAACCAGACTTCTGACCCCAAATGAAATCTGATAAAACTGAAGACTTATCCACGTTAATTTACCTACTCATTACCAATTATAAGAAAAATGGAAAACAGGCAAATTCTACATCTTTTCAACTATCTTTTGGTTGGCTAAATAAAAAATCAGCTGAAAGTACTTGGCTCTGCATATTAACCTGACAATACTGCAAGCCACATGTGACCAGAGAGGTCAGGGGTTAGAGTGGAATCCTTTGACCTATGGAACTATCTGCTTTGGTCTTCAGGCAAGGCTCTGTAAGAGATCATTTTACACAAATTTATCAATCATATTTCTCAAGTTCAGCATTCTATCTGCTTGGTTTGAAAGAAGATAGGTGCTCATCCTCAAGGGAATTGAAACCCAAAGTGCTTTATCTATAAACGACATTTACCCATAGACAAACCACTGTCCATTCATCTTTTCTGAAAGATGTATGTTGTATTTATTCTCATCTGTTTCCAAGAAGGGTATGTATATGTCACTGTTGCAACATCCTAGGTGCAACAGTGAGATGAGGTCATGACAACCAATCAGAAGTCACTAGTGAAGCGTTAAAGTAAACATAGCTGTTGGAACTGCAGCTCTGCTTGAAAAATGCCCCCTCCATTATTTTAGCAATTTTCTCAAGACGTGACCTGGGACTGAAACGCGTGAAATGTCACTTGACTCCGTTTTGTGTTTCTTCTCAATGTGCATTTAGGAAACAGTACTCTACTAATATTTTGTAAAATGTTCTCATAACCATACTTTAACTTGTAGCTTCATGAAATCTAATGCTGTGTGTGTTCCATGGTATAAAAATACCATAATATGGACCAACATAGATTATCCCAGTTAAGTTTCCAACTTCAAATAAAGTTTCCAACTTCAAATAGCTCATCAAGTTAGTCAGTAAAAGAAAACATGCCACAAAAAGTTTTCAGAGGACCACCTGTTGTCTATTATTTTTACATAGCACTTACTCATAAATCATAACACAGGGTAATTAATCAAGCTGTCAAAGAGAAGGTCAAAGGTTATATGGTAGAGTCAGAAGGTCATGCATGGGCTGATAGAGGTCAGGGTCACACTGCATTCCTCATTATCAAGTTGGGATGAGAGACGGCCCAAGCAAACAAAAGTGAAAGCAGATGGAGAAGTGAGTGGATAAAAAAAAAAAAAAGAAAAGAAAATTTCACAAACAAAAAGAAAAGTGAAAGAAGACTGTCAGCTGCCTTCAAATAGAGAATAGAAGAGAAAAGAAATACACTGAAATGTGCTCAAAGGAGCTCAAGAACATAAAGAAACTACAGTTTTATTAATTAAATAAACTGAATATAACTTTTCTTGACCATTTTATTAGTAGATACTAAGCAATATTAGAAAATACGTGTTCGGCATCTGTATACCTTCTCCAGTTAGATTAATTCAGGTAAGGCAAAGAGTTCCAAGGATGAAGAATAATTTACAAAAACAAACAAACAAACAAAAAACTTACAATAAGAGAGATTATCCCCCCTAATATTGTGTGAGGGTTATAACACAGATGCAGATAGTTTTAAGCCATACAACAGATAAATTCTTGAGTATGATACAAAGATACCCATAAACATAAATGTATCATAAAAGTCCTTCTGAATAACAAAACAGTTATAAAATATTCTATTATTATGTTGGCCTGAATTAGATGCAGAATACTGTGCAAAATTAGCTGTCACCCTTTGCTCAAAATCTTTGTTAATCTCATTTTGAATGTTTGCAGCTTTATCAACACATGCATCAATGTCAGCTCCTTGGTTACTGAACCGCTGTAGTTGGAAGAAGATATAATTAAAATGTTTTGGCACACAAAAGGTGAAATTGTATCTTCCCTTGTTCCCTTAGGAGTCTGTAAAACATGAAGGATATATTGACAAACACACACCCTTGTCTCCAGTTCTGACATGTCAGGTCATCCAAGCACTATTTATTTTAAAACATGTGCTTTGCACTTACCCATATTATCACCCACTCCATTTCTAACTTTTCCTGGGTTTTAGAACATTATGTTGCTTAAATCTTGCAAATTTCTCTGCTATTCACAATTTACTTATGGAAAGATTCTATAAATCTACAATAGTACCATTAATACATTTACCATTCATTTTTGAGGACAGAAATATGATTTAATACCATAGTTTTGTGAAATCTTTTATATTCTTTGCTTCTCATTCTCATAAAATGACACAAAGGTATACCCACACGTTTATACATTAAACTAAAAAGAAGTAACAAGTTAAAACTGTTGCCCAGTCAATGATATATCAAAATCCCTAAATGAATTTAGGAAATCGAAAAGATACCTCTTTATTACATGGTCTAAAGAAGACTTGGATGGGCAGATTCATCTCATTAACTTTACTATTCCTCATGCTAGTTATGCCTGTGCGTTTTAAAATGCTGAATGGAAGTCCAATGTTCTCCTAACTTCTTGTGAAAATCTATTATAAAGTTGTGTAAATATAGTAGTTCTAAAACATTTCTGGTAGCCACATGGGCTTTCAAAATATTATCACTTTGACCCAATCATATATCATACAAACATATGCTTAAGTTTTTAAGCTAATCATAAAAGCTGTTTAACGATTACAGTACCCAAATTATTCTATATTAAATATACCACCTTTCTCTTTTTTCTTTCAATTAAAATATCATGTGTTTAAATTGTTTTCATTGTTTTTTCAAGAATATATCAGTGCTTGTGGTGCTAGAGTCCACCTGCAAGTATGAGGACATAACGAAGAATTCTATTCATTCAGTCAATAATTCATTAAATACCGATTTCATACAACAAACATTTAATAAGCAACTACTATCTACCAAGCACTATGCTAGTTATACTTAAGAGTCTACCTGTATCCTATACTGACAGTCACTTTTCATTTTAAGATATTTTCATTCAGTAGAAAATTTTAAATCCAAATCATATACAAATTCCTAAAATGTCTACATGAGACCATTTTATTTTTCAAAAAAAGGGAAATGTGAAAAGGAAAAAAGGAGAAAAGGGTAATGATAAAATGCTCCTAAAACCAGGCTAACTAGATTTTCAAGGATGATTAACTTTAAATGGTAAGTTAAGTTTGTGTTTGTGTTAAGAGTGGTATTTAAACTTACTCTGTAACAATGAAAATGTAATGTTTGAGGATGTGTGTTTGTGCGTGTGTGCATGTTGTGTTGTATACATTCACATATTTTAACAAGTAACATCATTTCATAATCTAAAGGAAACACTTCAATACACATATATCTCCTAACAGGTGCAAATGAGTATAGCTATGAATTTCTCTTCCCACAATGACCTATGTCAGAAGATCTTCTCATACTTCTTCTGCTAAATAATTTAATTACTTATGAGTTATGGTTTCTTTGTAACCTTTTAAATGACTAGCTCATTAAAATGCAAAAATATGCAAAACATGATGTCACTGGGTCAAACAGCTGTGTTGGTAAAATTATGGCTGTGAATGTCCCCAAGAACATGAAAATATTAATAATTTATATTGCTCATTAGATGGCAAAAACTCTTTAAACAGATTTAGAGACAGATTAATTTTATAATCACAAAATGCTACACTACCTCATGGTAACAAATCTTTCCACCATCTGTGACCCTTTGGTATACATGAAACATATAAAAATTCAAAATGGCTTAAGGTTTTTACATTATAATATGCATATTCAGGAAAAAAGTCATAAAAACCTGAAATATGGTGGTAAAAACTTTGTTAAAATATCCATTTGCCAACTTTAATATGAACTTACTTTTCTTTCAAAGAGACAAGATACAGTAATAGCAAATAAGTTATAGTATGAGACAGTCAACAAGTCATAGTCCTGCAAACCAATAATAAGATAATTGTCTTACACTTCTTAAAATTGTATGTCACACTATGAGTTCAAATCTTTCATAGAATCTTCTTGAATGACAAGAGTGATAAAATTATATAAACAAAGTACTATCTATCATATTTGAAGTTCAAAATGTTTCATGCCTCTGCTTTACAGTATCATGATGGTGCTGAAAGTAAAGTGCAGGAAAAAAATCTCCCCAACTATCAGTTGTTTTTAGATATAGAAATATTTTTAGTTTAAAAACAAATGGGATAATTATTAAATCTGTGCTATTTAGCCAGGAAACTAGCTTCCTAATGATCATGTTTTTCTATCTCTTAAGCAATTTAAACATCAAATACATTATTTACCACGTAAATTATAAAAATATGTTCATCTAGTATCAGCCAGCAGCAACAGAATTACTTTCATGTGCACTTAATAATGTTCTTTTCATTAATAATCTATCATGGGCAAAAATTAATGAATAGACAATTTTGACATGTGGTCTTTTAAAAACACACAATGATTAGGTAATCCTAATTTTAAAATTCTATTTTAAATTTCCTTTTTAGAAATGTTTAAAGTAGAAAAAAAGCTGTATGCCCATCTCAGTTCTGATGTGAAATAATATTGAAGATAGTTGTTATGTGGAAGGGAAGGGTTAATGGGGATTTTAAACTAATGAACACAGTGACACAGGGCTCTGAAGTAAGCCATGCATAGTTCTAAGCCAACCTTAGAATTTCAACCCTTCCAGCCCTGGCTTAGATCATACAGGCTCTACTAGAAATGTCAAGAATGTGAAGAGGCGTCTTTAGCCAAAAGGACACAACTTTAAGTACATAATGCTAGCTTACACTGGTTCGTTTATTCCCCTCTTCATTAGTGAGAAAATGGACTCTCGTAAATGCTTGTTAAAATCCCTACCTACACTCCTCTGGTTAATGTGAGTGATCCATTTGTGTTCATTTCTGCCTGACAACGCTTACTGGAAGATTAATTGCCCCATGTCAAACTGTAGCAACCCTTGTCCCCTTCTCATTTCCTTTTCTCTATGCTGTTGAAGTAATAATGGACCTTGTCTTTTGTTTTAAGACTGGGATTAGGAGAGAGTGAGTTTTTCTTCAGACGACTTTATGGAGTAGAGTTTGGTTGAATACTTATAAGATTTACCGTGAAAAGGAAGCACATAGTCCTTTTTGCCCACTGTTTAACTTCACATATCTTGCTGTCTTTGTTTAGCCTTCATTCCTGTATGAGCCCATTCTAAGAAAATCTACAAGTAATCTATACATGGACGTCATTTTGAATTCTCTTACCTGGGGAACTTCAAAATTGGCACTTATAATTGCCCCCTCCTCCCTCAATAATACTTCACAAAGCATACTGTCCCTTGTAAAAATATATTATTTCAATTATGTGCACAGTGGTGTTTTAAGAAGAATTCCAAATTTTCATTCACATAATCATAAAGACCATCTTCCAGGCTCCAAAATTTAAAAAACTAGAACCTCAACAATAATATACAACTCATAACAGCAGCAACATCATCAAAAAAACTACAACACTTTTCTTGATTGAAATAAGCAAAAAGATATCACCAGACAAATGTATACTCCAATTCTCATTTTGTCTTTTTGCTGGAACATTAAGGAGTTTTATGTTATCACAAAACCTCAGAAACTACCAAGCAGAAAAGAAACCTTATTATGAGTAACTGGCAGTATCTCATTAAATCTTTCAATTGTCCAATCGTCCACAGCAGACCTCCAAGAGACTTGTATATTATACTCATTGCAATTAACCAAACAAAAGATTTTAACCGCCAGAGCATTCGGGAAATGTTTGGTTGAGGCTGAAGAAGTGAAATTATATTCCAGGGTTGGCCAGATGTCACAAGGGGTGATATGCATGTGCTCATTTCATCTGCAGCTTTGTGCTGGACCTGTCTATTTACAGCACTACAGCTAAGCACTCTGAAGGCCTATTCACTCATGAATCCTTTCAGAAAGTGCTGAAGCACCCCTTAAGCCCACTTAACTACCATTTTCACACACTCTCCCAGCTCTCCTTTTTGTCCTTGCTTACATTACATCAAACACAGGAACAAAGCAAGAGAACAGAAACTCAGAGGCAGAGAATAGACCCATCACAAATATTAATTTGAAAAGGTGTTGAAGTGCAGAATCTGCTTTTATGCACAAGGACAACTTGCATTTTTTGTGTGAGATTCTCTTAGCTGCAATAAGCTAGGTTTTCAGCCAAAGAGAGGCAAAGACTCAAAGTGCAATTATACACAGGGAACTGCTTCAAATCAAACAATGCTCCGAACTGCTTTAGATCTATAGTGATAAAGACTTGGCAAGCACTATTAAATAGAAGCCCTATATGAGATGCAGAGTTCACTCTATGGATGCATACAAAAGAGAATACAAAAAGAATACTTTTCACACAAAAGTAAAACTACAATTTCACTTTTAATTCACTTGCAAACAACACTTTAATACAATTTCTTTTTATAAGATTCTTCTTAGCATAAACTATGACTCCTTAAAAGTAGTTTCAACTAATTTTTACTATATCTGTTCTTAACATGCCAATTAGAAGTTCTATACTACCTCTGGGGGGGGGAAAACCACACACCACTGTGTCAGCTAGTCTATTTAAAATATGTGATATTCAACCATACTTAGTTGAGTGACTTGAATTTCCTATTTGAAATAGATTGTTACCTCATCCCTTTCCCTCTCAACACTTGCAAAATCTCTTTGGGTTTGTTTCACTGCTCAGCAATATACAACTGTTGCAAAATTTACTGAATTAACTTTATGAATTAAAGACTTAGTCCCACAAAATGTCTCTTGAGAAACTGATAGAAATTTGGCTCTTAAGAGTCCTTAGCAGATTACTTAGCATACTTCCTCTGTCTAAAAACCCTGGATGATCTAAAATCATATTCATTGTTTTAAGTCTCAAAAAATTTACACCTTTAAAAAATATGGTTTTAATCTTTGCATCATTTCAAGCCCAGATCAATCTGGATTCCATTATTGGTGCAACAGTTCCGATTAAATTGAAATATTACTACCTTTCTTCCATGAAAATACATGGTTCTTTTTATCACCACCTTCTGTCTGATTAAAAAATGCCATAAAACCTAATTTTAATTTAAATCCAGCCTGATTTGCAGGTGTTCCTGGGGGTTACAAATTTATCAGGAACATAACTGCCACTGCCGAGATCAAAACACTGCACAGCACGCCAGCAACTTCATGGGCCACAGCCACTCAATGGGGAGCGGCCTCCTCACAGGCTTTATGATGAAATACAAAACAGCCAGCAGGAATCTATATCTTATTCAGACCTGAAGAAAATGTTGCCCCCTACCCTCCCCCAAAATGCATACACACATACAATTACTGATAATCTGCTTACACTGGCAGACTGTGGTGGGTTTGCTAACATTAACTGCAAACAGTCTTTTGACAGAAAATACGACTAGTCAACGGGTGTCCAGTAATGGTTAAATGAATGCCATGTTATTATCTACCACACATATAGAACAAAATAAAAAAGTAGAATGAATTTCACATGCTATTTGCCACTACAGAACTATCATTCAGTTATTCAAAATGCTCTTTTAAACAATGTAGTAAGTGATTATAATAATTAGGTAGGCACTAGGACTAAAACAAAGTATGTAATGAATACTTATTAAAGAAATATAACATTATGTCATATCCATTGTCTGGTCCTATTTTCTTTATATAACATATTTCAATAACGAGATGCCATTTAGCCAAAGGTGGCTGTATAAAATTATTTTTTTACACAAGAAGGAGAAAATCTTCTAAACCAGAAAATCACAAAAATTGTATCATATAGTTTGGGCCATTTTCAGTCAACTGTCCTCTTTTAATCACAGTGTAGCACATTATCCCTGTAAAACTTACAGACATTACCATCAGAGCTATTCTCCAAGACTCTTACTTCTAATAGGCACTCAGCAGCTAAACTTTTTTCAAAATATGTGTTGCAGGGCAATGTATAGACAAACACTTAATAGTATACACTCTGTGCAGATTCACATCCATGCTGCTGTGCTGCCAATTTTTAAAAAATGTACTCAATTAGCTAAATTATTTTTATAGACTATTTTAAAATACATCTGTTGTGTAAAGTTGAAGTACATCCTTTAAATACATATCTTACGTTGTCATGCATATGTCTGTTTAAATGTCATTAATCTTTATGAATACAATTACAAACATAATTTACTAATTTATCTCTATAATTACATTTATAATTAGAACACAATAGATGTGAGTGTATTTACATAAAGAACTAAGTTAGGAACTGTCTAAAGCAAGCAGGGCTTTCTTAGCACCATGTTTAATTCTTATTAACCCCAATGCCTCTGCCATTTCTTTGTGTTTTTTTAATATTAAAAAAAAAAGAGAGAATTGCCCAAACATTTCTGAGCTTCCAGTAATGTATTAAAATGTCTCTCAGCTTCTCTGTACACAGTGAAATGCCTGCTGAATGCAAAGTGAAGGAGGATGAATTTCTCCAGGTTCTGTACGTCTGATCTCTCAAAACCTTCAAAATCTATCCTTGATCTCAGCAAACAGAGCAGAGCACAATGTTATTTATGCATTCATTTATCTTTTCATCAAGGGTGGCTTATGTGGTCTTTACTGACTTTGGTTTCTCATCATCATCGCAGATCAGCATCTGCATTGTGTGCACTTGTAACAGGGATAATGGATCTCACTTACAATACCTACAAACTCAGCTGAGAGCCGTGCAAAGCAAATGGCCGTAAATGCACCCATCCTGGCCCAAGTCCTGATGAATAAAAATGAAGATCTTGTCAAATAATAAAGTGACAGGTTAATTTACAGCATGGAATAGTGTGAACAGGGAAAGCACTGCTTTTCCAATCTGTATGAACGGTGCCACCTATCTGCAGATTAGCAGAAAGCTTCAGAAACACTAATTCAGAAATCGGGATAAATACATGTGATGTTGCTTAGTTTTGTAAATATCACAGGAAGGGAATTGATAATAAAGGCAAATGCGAGATTAGACACACACAGTTGCTTTCCAACCAAAAAAACAAGATTCTCAACAAAGGGCTGCTGTATCAAACAGTAATAAAGAGCCTCAAGCAGTTGTCTGTGCTCATGCCAGTTTTCATGCTTTAATTCAGCTGCCCTGTGGTTCTTAGCTTCAACATTGAGATCTGCACGGCCACCAGAGATAATTATTTCAACCTTCAGGCCATCAGGCGTTCATTTTTGATCATGGATATGTAAGAGATGTTTTCTGCTTTCCGAGTCTTCCAAGTGGATATCAATAGAAGGGTAAAATAAGGAAAAGCAGTAAGCATTTGAAAAGAACTTGAACATTGAATTATAGAAATGTGATTTGCTCTATCAATTACTGTAAATCTTTCACTTTACCTGTTAACTACTTAGATATTTTAATTTGTATATATTTTCAATTAGATTTATTGCCACAAGTACTCCGACTCCAAAGGCATAACATTTGTTTTAATATTTACATTAGAATTCATACTTTGTATACTTTAATGGAAATACAAAGACATGATAGCACAAAATCCATAAACTAAGTGACTTTTTAAGTTAAATTTTTATATCACATCATAATGTGCTTTTATGCAAAACTCAAATCAGGAACATATATCATTCATTAAAATATCTAATTAGTGGTCACAGAAATCATTGAACAAAGTAATATGATAAATCTCTAAAGTGTAGGCAATTACATTTCTCTCTCTATGAAATATGGAGAAAGAACTAGTTTCCATTAAATTTGATGCAAATATTTAAATCATTCTATTAACAATATATAATCATAAAATTTAAAATACATAAACCACCCTTAATTTTAATAGGACATAGTTTTTATTTTAAAATTAACAAAATAAAATAACAAATAGTAGAGTTTTAAATATTTATATCAAGTAGAAAAAACACTTATAAGTGGTTACAAAATATAATTAGCAAACACAAAATAGAATTCATCAAAACTTTTCTCAATATTTTCATAAAGAAAAAGTGTTTAAAATACTTCAAGAATAAGCCATAATATATCAATACTATTCAATAAGAAATCTATGTCTAAGAAATTTATTTAAATAGGTGACTAGAAAAGACATAATTATGGCTGCCCTAAAAATAGTTGTACTCACCTTCAAATAAAAAATCCATTGTCATAACTATCAAGTTGGAAGCAAAAGAGATACTACAGATTGAGCATCCCTAATCCAAAAATCTGAAATCCGTAATGCTCCAAAATCCTAAACTTTTTGAGTACTGACATGACAGACTTTTGTGGACTGCACAATTCCCCAAGTGCAGATTTCCACACCTGACTTCATGTGATGGGTCCAAACTTTATTTCATGTACAAAATTACTAAAAACACTGTATAAAGTTACTTTCAGGCCATGTGTATAAGGTGTATGTGAAATGTAAATGAATTTTGTGTTTAGACTTGGGTCCCATCCCCAAGAAAACTCATTATGTATATGCAAATACTGCAAAATCTGAAAAAATCCAAAAACCAAAACACTTCTGGTACTAAGCATTGTGGACAAAAGACAACCTGAAACATGTTAGATGAATGCTAAGTCTAATAGGAATACTAATAATTTCAAAAAAGGTAATTCATGTTAAAAGGAAGGAAAATGGAATTAACTAGCATTTCAATGACTAAAATGAGTTTACATTTTAACATTTTCTTCAAAAGTAAAATCCCAACTATTTTATGGTTCCCAATACAAAATGACACGTGAGCCCAAGGGTTAATACTGTTTGCAAGTTTTTGCAACTACTGCGACATATGCTCATTTTTTCCCTCTTAAATTGAACAATACAATAAATGATTAAAAAATACATTAACATTTTCCTTAGAAAGTATAAACTTCCATATTCCGCACAATATTAATTAAATAAAATTCCAAGAAGTGATTAGAGCATCAGATTTTCAGTCTATCAGCGCTTGCATACTTTAAAGCTTTTTCCATCTTACATCAAGTTCCTAATACATAAAGGGAAAGTATAGGTTGGCATATAAACAGTAGGATAATTTAGTGTATAAAAGCAAGCCATATAACTCAAATGAAATCACTTGATTTCCTCCCAAATATCACTAGGCAGGAGTGTCCAAAATATCCCGGATCAAAACAAACAAAAAGTTATAATTTTCATTAAACTACTCCTGCCATGCTTTTTGTGACCCAGAGCTTACTCCAAAGTAGAAGCTACAACATAAAGACTTATTTATTAATCAAAGTTACTTTGCATTAAAATGTGTTTCCTTAAGCTATTTATAGATAAGGGGTGGGATCTCAACATGGTATAATTTATAAAGTCCTCTTATATAAGCAAAGAGGACTAAAAACATAAAAATTTTTGGAAAGTTTGTAGGAGAAAATATAATTGTACTTTTGAGTTTCTTACTTCTACCTCTTTCCCTGTTAAAAAGAATAATTGATGCTCCCAATAAATTAGCAAAAAGGACAAAAGAGACTGTGGTCATTTGCTAAAGTACTTTAATTGTACACAGTTTTAAGCTTAAAAAGTAGTTTTGAAAATCCATTGTAAGGATGGCAAACTGGCATAGAGGAAAATAAGATTAATTATATATTATAATACAATATTGGCTTCAATTTTATTCAAAGGAATAGTAATTCTGTAGAGATCCTTTATTGAGGTACTACCAAATCCTCATGCTAAAAATATTTGGGGGAGAGACTACTTGCTTTTCTGTGTATACTATCACTTTTCAGACTTGCTTACTAACCCTAGGAATTCGAACATCTTAATTATAGGGTCAAAAAAAAAAGGACAATACAAAATGTATAAGGCATATGATTGGCTTAGGAAGGTCTCAGAGGGTACCAGAGATGTTTAGAATCTCCATCGTTGTAACTTCAGATTGTAAGAAACCATCTCTTCCCCATTTCTTAATCCATTGCTGTACCATGTTCCCAGATAAAAGTTAATTTGCAACTCCCAGGTCATTCTAGCAATTAGGAAGCTTCCGTGATCTGAAATACTGCTTTGGAATCTATGTCCTCCAAAGATGAACACCCATCTCCTACCCCTGACAATTTTAAGGATTCTCATCATAAGATGAATACTAGTATGTCCAAAATGAGACATACGATTTCTTATAATCTGAGTATATTCTTTCAACTGAAGTATGTTCTTTTAGATACTTTTATTTTCTTCATCATTGTCTTTTATGCATGATCTTCCTGGATTTTCCTTACTATCTTTTTGTTTTGTTTTGTTTTGTTTTGTCTGTGTAAATTATTTAACAATTCTCAGAGCCAAACCTTAAGCATGACTGTTTCCATTACCCATAGCACAAGTGACATACACATATGGTACTCTCCTGCTCCTCACATGCACCTTTCTTTCTGTATCTTCTTTTGTTTGATGTACTCTTACCCCTATTCTCTTTCATTCTCAACCTTCCTTCTCACTTTTCTGAGGCTTAACTTAATTTTGGGTAGTGGCAGCTCTTAGCAGTGATAAACCTCTTTAGTGACATACAGAGTGAAAACGACCAATTGTCCATGTTATGTACAGTAAGAAAGCTCGAAATCAACCAAATTGCTAAGTAAAAGATATTCATTTGGTCACCTTTCTTCTGAGTCAATATGGGAACTATTCTCAAGTAATTTTAACAACATACATACACAAAAAATGATATGATTGGCTTAAGGCAGGTCTGAAAGCCAGTGAGAAATTATATAATCTGCACAGCCGTTAGAAAGTTTAATACATGGCTCAAGAATAAAAATTTGTAAATAATAACAATAGCTAGCACTTACTGATTGCTTACCATGTGACATGTACATAAAGCACTTCACATGTATCATCTCACTTAATCATTCCTAAAACCCTGCAGACAGATATTGTTCATATCCTTATCTTACAGCTGTTAACACAGTAAATAAATGGTAGAAATGGGATCAGAGTCTAGTTGGACTCTAGAGCTCACACCATTGACCAATATAACATGCTACATAATGTTTATTAGTTTTAGCTTATGGTAAATAGTTCCTAATTTTAATTATAATGATTTGCTGCTGCTTTTGAATTCTCAAGTGACAAAAATCATGATTCCATAGCACATATATATAGATGGCACTTCTGGCATTAACTCTGTAATGACCATATGTCACCCCTAGGGGTCAGATATATTTTAAAAGGTGAAATTAGAAACATTTGGTATCCATTAGCTAAAGAGCAGCTCATCTACCTACAAACTCTGTCACATTGCTAAAATGACAGCTTAGAGCAGTATGCATGATGTGTTTCAGGTGGTCTTCTAAGAAGATCCTAAAATAAGATCACTAAAATAGGAAACCCTTGTCTGTAAAAGTTCTTTTTCGTTCTGGTGATCAAGTTTCCCTATATATTAATGGAAGAAAAAAGCAGCAAGGGTTTAGGCTTAAAAAAAATTTTGATTATGTAGTCATTTTCCTGAGTTGAATTTAAAAGTGGCTATTATAGGCAGAACAAGATTTTTTGCTTTTAGTTTGCATTTGAAAACAGTGGCAAAAAGTGAAGGACATAAGAGGGGAACAGGAGTCTCCCGATCAACTTTAGAAATATCTATAAAGTTACTTAAGAGATTAGGACAATGTTCTTTAACAGTTAGACTGTAAGCACATGGATTAAACTATGTCCCTATTGATGGGTGATTAGGATAGTTTAATCACATGATTATTACTAGGTTAAACAGAAGAAGCCGGTTAAATGTCACATAGTAGATTATGCCAGTAGTAATAGTTTTAATGACATGCATATAATTCTTTACTTGTACTTTTTGGTGCCTATGGAGTACTTGAAAACAACAAAACTAGTTTGGGAAAAAAGTAAATATTAGCACAAACATTTTTCTATATTCAATAAATGTTGTTTAGATACACTAATTGGCTCTAACAGAAAGAAACCATTCAAGTGATAATAGAAATATTGACAAAGGCATAATGTGATTACTTCAATGAATGCTAGGTAGCTGATGACATATACTTAGTGATTAAAAAAATCAAACTAATATGGACAACTCTTTCAGGAATCCATAAATCAATTAATCAAGTAGTTTCTGAATTGCTACTATGTGTAGAACATGGCATTAGGCTTGAAAGTAACATAAATACTTTTTCAAAGAGTATTATTTTGAAAAACAAAAAATACTATTTTGGGTCTTTTTTAATTTGAGGAAGGCTCTTTGCTCAGATAATATCTAATAAAGTATTAAGGTAAAAATAAAAAGTAAACAAAGTAAATTCCACACTTAAAGATAAGAATGTGATACATGGGCTGGGAGGGGTGGCTCACGCCTGTAATCCCAGCACTTTGGGAGGCTGAGGTGGGTGGATCACAAGGTCAGGAGTTCGAGACCAGCCTGACCAACACGGTGAAACCCCGTCTCTACGAAAAATACAAAAATTAGCCAGGCTTGGTGGTGCGCACCTGTGGTCCCAGCTACTCAGGAGGCTGAGGCTTAAAGAGAATCGCTTGAACCCATGAGGCAGAGGTTGCAGTGAGTCAAGATCATGCCACTGCACTCCAGCCTGGGCGACAGAGTGAGACGCTGTCTCAAAAAAAAAAAAAAAAAAAGGTAATATGTGATTCTACTATAAGATAAATAAATGGTACAGTATCTAGTGGTTTTAGAGTACAATAACTTTAAGCATTTTTTTCAGTGGAGAAGTACAGACAAACAATATTCACATAAGTTTATCAGCCATAAAACTAAAATAAACCAGTAAAACTCAAGAAGCAAAATTGAGCAATAGTATATAAAATTAAATTAAAGTATTTAACAGTTGGTTTTAATTGTGAAATTCTAGGATTAGTTGCCTTACTTTAGGAAGAAATCTCACAATGGTAATGGTAGGATTAGTCACATAAACCGAAACCGACAGCACCCACTGGTCTGAGAACTACTCTTAGGTTTATGTCATATTCCAAACTTTCTGGCATTCTGTCTGGTTTAACTTCTCTCCTCACCTTATAGCTTTAGTAGGTCTGGTTCCTTCTCCATTCTTCCTCTAACCTAATATAAGAGAACTGGGCTGTGCTCATTGAGAGGTAAAGGCATAATAACTGCTAGCCAACCTTTTAGAAATCCGCAACCACATTTGAAAACAGACAATAATTATTCCCTTTTAAGTTCTGAGTTTGTAATAAGCATGAACAAAATTTTTTAAAATAATGTGCAGTCAAAAAGAAAAGGTGAGATTTTGGAAACCTGAGATAATGGCAAGATTGAATCTACAAAGTAGAGGAGGAAATAAGGGAAAACATCCATCTTCTTCAGGGAAACCTGAGAATGCATACATAGAAGGAAGGAGTGCACAGGTAGACAGCAAAATCAGCATATGGCTGAACAGAAGCGTAGCTCATGAAAATCAGTGTATGACCTAATTTTCTTCAAGCTAATAAACTCCACTAATAGTCATTATTTGTCCAGTTGTTATGCCAATTATACCATAAGGGCCTATATTATATTCATAAATATTCACTTACAAAAAATTCAATACTACCTCAAAAACTTTGAAAGATGTTTATAAAGTTTTCAATTGCAATAATCCTCCAGAAGTTCAAAGTCTAGTCTATGACTAGACTGTCTAGTTCTTTTGTTACTTGCTCAAGCATGAATATGTATAATATAAAGAATATAGGAGACAGTCACTGGACTGGTAGTTGGAAGATGAGTAGGTTCTCTTTAATTCTAACATGATCAATGTACAAGGGAATAGCTTACAACCTTAGGCACATTTTACATTTCTATAAATAGGTATACATGCCTAATAGTTCCCAACGAGCAGGACTTTTGACGGTTAACAAGATTGGGATGAACATATGAAAGATGACAGTTCCTGGAAGTTAAATGATACTCAGGATAACAAAAAACAGGTAAAATTAACAAAACTAGTTAAGTGTTTTAACTCCTAATATATGTGAACCTAGAACATATCTAGAAAAGCAGCTTATCTAGAATTATTTGATGGAAAGGAAAAATGGCAATCTGCAGAACTTCAAGTGTAGTAGGTAGTAGATAAGATATATAAGAGTCATGTATATATTATCATACTATAATAATATGTATTAGGGGTTCAATAAAATGTTACTTTGTTGGTTTTTAACGTATTTCTATTTTATACAAATAAAGGAAAATTATAAATAAATCACCATCAAAATCATTCCTATAAACCATATGCATAATTACTACAGTAAAATAGGAAGGCTACCCTAAATGTTACTCAGTTTTTAATCCAAATAAAGTCACACTAGTAACAGGTGTCTGCTTAAAAATGTTACCTTTGTAAAGAAATATTTTAGACATATATTTGCTATCTAGCTGGGAATCAGTAAAAAAGTGAATAGTAAGTATGTAGATTATTTGTTCTACTCTATAAAGGGTAAATAAAGCAGCCAGGGCTTGAGATAGGGTACAAAGAACGTTTCCATGGTTACATGCTTTCCCATATCAAATTAGAGCAGAATTTGTGTACAAGAGGTTTGTTGACAGCCTACATAGGCCATAAAAAGAATAGAAGGCTAGGAGTTTGAAATCTAAATATATTCTGCAAAGTCTGTTGAGAGAAAGTTGGGTGAAGAAAGCAGCATCGGGAGAGTAGCAGATTAGTTAAGAGTATCAGATGTCATTTCGTGAAAAGATAATTTTTCTTTTAGATGTGGCTCATAAAATTCTCTCCAAATGTATGATTAGCTACTCTTTTCTTCATTTCCACAAAGACACCTCAATCTGGTGTCCACCCAAGCTATTAAGAAGAGCCATTATTTGTCATGCAACTAGAAATATCAGTTTCACCACCTGCCCAATCTTGCAGATGTCACTCCACCATATTCAATCTCAAACATGGGGTCTTCAAAAGGACAGTTAAAGGGCTGCTCCCACACAAGTGCTGGCCAAGCAAGAGCTTTTGTTGTACACCTGTCCCTATTATTACTATAGGCCATTTAGTAGGGGTGAATTCTCTTTTTAGTACATGTTGAGAATTCAAGTTGGGCTAAAGAGCATTTTATAAATTGTAACATGGTCAGCGTTATGTCCAAAGCACCTCCTGGCAATTTTGACATAGAGAGGTGTTCCCACATGCTTAAATGTTTCTTTATACACCAGCAAACGTATTTGGACATTTGAGTAATTTCCTATTTTGTGAACTAGTGCACAAAGGATTGGGATATTTTACTTGGATCTCCTGTATTTTGACTATATACAATTGGGGGTGAGTTATTGTTATATGATTACTGGATAAAAAAAGCTTTTCTACTAAAACTGCTAATATTACCCAAAACTCTCTTTTAATATTTTCAGACATCAGCAATAACAACAACAAAGTAAAATAATTCTTAAGTATTTAAAATGATTTAACAGTTTATAAGAGCTAAAGTCATATACATGTAAAAACACAAAACTCATGCAGGACAGAAAACCAAATTATACATACTCTCACAAACTGGACCTGCTAAAATTAGCTAGTTTCTCTGCCATGTATTTTTCAGTAAATATGGTGGTCAATAACATTTCAGTTGTTGGTTTTCTACCAAAAGCTATACAGAATGAATGAGAACTAATTATGGTATACAGTATAATGATTCAAAGGAGCATAACATACAAGTGAACAAATCAACCATCAACTGTTAAATTGAAAATTCTATATATCTGTGTGTGTGTGTGTGTGTGTGTGTGTGTGTGTGTATAGTCCTAGCCACATAGCAGATAGTCCTAGCCACATAGCAGATAGTCCTAGCCACAAAGCAGATTTTTAAAAGCAATGACTTCACATGAGTTGGTAAATCAGTAAACATTTGATATGATTAGTTCACTGATTTCAAAAAGTGAGAATAAAAAATAGTGAAGAATATTTAACAGTTTCCTTTCTCAAGCATAATTCACCCTTAGTCTTAGCCTGTGTTTTCACCTGGCTGGCTTTGTAATGAGTGTTTCTAAAACGAATTATCAGAAGTTTCGGGAGGTACAGGCAGAAACAGATTTAAAAAGAAATTCTAACTCATGGCAGAGAAGTATTTGAAAGGAAGGAAAGAAAAAACATAGGTGACAGTCAGACTACTGTACTACTGTATAGACTAAAGGGAATAGCAGTTGCTAAGCATCACATTCATTCACGTCAGGGCTAATGGTAAGTTGAATTGTTTATTCCTTCGCATAATGCACTATGCAAGTAATAACTATGCTCCAAAATTGTTGCCTGATAGGCAACAAATTCTAGCTTTCAATTAACAGCTGACTATACCTGATATCTTTTAAGTAGACTAGATTAGATTAGAAATAAGCCTCTCCTAGAAAAAAGTTAAAAGTTATATCTTTCTCATGTGATGCTCTTTATTACGGAATATTTCAGAGTTCTGTGTAACATCTTAGAGTTGTTTCCTTTAAGGCCTATGGAAAACATAGCTAGAGTTAAGAAACAGCCTCAAATTTATGAAATTTTAACAATTAAATGAGATTGCTTAAATTTAAAATCCTATCTCTTTGTGTATAAATGATGATCTTACATTTTACTCTTACCTCCTTAAAATACATGGATCATAAATCATGTATAGTGTGGACATTTACAAATGCATTGCACATTGCAGACATTTACAAAAAGATTTAATTGGCCACAAATAAATCTATTCTAATCTAAATTTACCTTTTACCTCAATCCCATTTAGAAATGGGAGACCTGAAGTTGCAAAATATAACACCTTTTATATTAGGAGATTTTGAACTCTTATAAGAGATTCTGAACTCTTAAAAATATGTCTAATCTCTGGATATTAAGAGGAAAATCTCATTTATGCAGGTAAATTATTACACCCTTGACAAAATTTTTCTATTAAGGAGTCAATGTCTCAAATGAGTGAGGCACAAATTAGAAGCATAGGCCTAAAAAAGCAAATATACCAGGTAAGATAATAAAGACTACAGAGGAACAAAACAGTATTTGTCTCCTCAATTCTTGCTCTACATTTAATTTCATGCCATTTTGCACTTTTGCTCTGAAATCTTTACCCAAGCTCTGTCCTACGAATTGTCTCTGTCCCAAGTCTATGGGAAGACAAATATTGCTTAAACAGCTTAAATCAAGTACACATTTATTTAGGAGTAAGAAGATATGGTGAATACAGTAGACAGTTTCTTTATTCCCCAACTTTGTGTGTGTGTATGTATTACACAATGGCTCCATCATTTAAAATAGATGTAGAAAACTTAGATAGGAATTAGAAGACAGCCATGAAAAATGACAAGTAGTTAAACAAATAAATTGTTATGATTCCCAGTCTCTATTAATTCTAGTACGGCAGTGTGGTTTACAGAGACAAATTGGCAATGTCTATAATATTTCCTATATGCAAAGACATTTTCTGTAACTATTAATTGGAAGAGGGTGAGGTGATAACGTTAATATAAGAATAAAGTAACTTTTTCGGAAAAAAATCTAAGCATTGCTTAAAATCTCTTCAGGGTTTATAACGATAAAAACTGTAATTTTAAAATAAGCCTAATCTAGTTAGCTGTACTGTTAAAATAAGAGTCATTAAACAAATATGAGATACCAATAACACCTGGGCTCTAGACTTGGTGATTGTCTCTGTTTGCATACAAGGGGTTCTCTTCTATTCCTTCTAACTCAGTTATTATGTTAACATTATTTAAACCTCAATCTCTTCGCCTAGTAGTACCTAAAAATCCATACCATTACTTCTTTAAGTTATTCTGTTTAAACAAATTCAATTGCTTCCTTCTAGATTTCAATAGAATTATTGGTTATCTTCTGATAAATGCAAGTAACATTCTTTGCAAATAACCTAAGAATCCATATCATATATGTTAATACTATTTTCTTGATTTACTTCAGAACAGCACTTTAAAAAAATATTTTAATTTTGTCAAATGCTATGCCTTAATGCTACTTCAGTCACCTGGATTAAAAAGGCCTTTGATAACACTGTTTCATTTTGATATTATTTACATTAAAATAAACTAGTAAAAAGGCAATACTAGAATATTTACTATAAAGATAATCAACCAACGTAGCAATGAGCTGACATGGCAAGTCTTTTCTGTTTTACATTTCATATTTGCTCTCTTAAAAGACAGATATATGTTTGTCACTAAAATCAAAAACATAGATTACAAAATCATAACTAAAATGAAGTATTCCACTTGGCTTTTGACATACATTTTGCATTTCTGTTTCTCCTTCATATTTTTGACAAATAAACCATCAGTGATTTTTTTTTAATTGCCAGCATAAAAAGGAGAGGCTATGAGATGGTTGAAAGAGTATGAACTAAATTTGAATTCAGAAAATTTGGTTTAAACTTTCATCTTGGCCATTTACTATTTATGACATCTTGGGCAAATCCCTTAAAATACTCGAGGTCTGAATTTCCACATCTGTATAATGGGGATAATAACTACTGCCTTCTCTGCCTCAAAAAAAAGTGGAAAAATGTACAGCAATTTGTAAAAATATTGAGTGTCACAAATATTGAGTGTCACAAATAAAACATTTGTTTTTATCCTAATTTTGCCTAAGAGGCAAAATTTTCAAAATGACAGAAAAAAATTCTTAGTATATGCTAATGTTAAGCTAACATGTAAATAAAGTCTTACAATTATTTACATGTTCAGTGCATTAAGACTTACTTACATTAGACATGCAATAACTGAAAAGATAATCTGGTACCCTACTTTCTGCTAACCCCAAAAAGACTCTGCTAAGTTTGCTAATTGATTAAAGCATTTTTAGTAAGCCAGGAATCGGAGCAAAATTTTTGAGGAAAAATGAATCTTCAGTACACAAGAAAAGAAGACCTGTGAAGTGCTCTACCTTGTCTCCCCAAGTACTTATGCTGCATAATTCTCCCTTGCTGCCCTTGACATTAGTATTAGCAAATAGTAACACTTTATTTCAAAAGATTTTAGGTGCTTACTCTCTTGCTGTCTACGTATTTTATATAGATATATGAGCATGCATGCACACATGTAAGGGTAACCTCAAATTTAAAGTATGGTTTGGGATGCTACTGTGTATGGTAAAGGCACACAATCTGCTGCTTGACGTTGACTCTGCCAATGATTCTGAGAGTCAGCCAAAGAGTCAGAGTAATAAAGTAGGGGTCTTCTGTATAAGTCCCTGCTGTGAAAATAATCCTAATAAGAGATACTCCAGTGAATGATTAATTTTGTTTCTGTAACTCATAAGACATTATGACAATTTTAAGACATTATGAGTTACAGAAATAAAATCCAAGAAATCTGCACACTTTTAAAAAAGCCTTCAGGATAAAAGAGAAAATTTTACACCATTTCAATCAATTATGCTCAAGGATTCTTATTTTCAGATGTCAGTGTTTATACTCAGAGCACCTTCCCCCAAATGTAATACTCAGACTCAACTGTAGTAGCATAATGCCTAAAATACTGTATTTTTTTTCTGAGGTCATCATCTAATAGGGCAACAATGGCAATTGGAGCTTTTGGTTTACAAAGATGGAATTCATACTCTCACAATGTCAAAATCATAAAAATGAATCATTTAATATTCCCTAGATAAAATACTGTCATTTATACCAGAATATTATATATAGTTTGGACATCTCGAGTCACCAGTAAAGTCGTAATTGTGTTAAACTGTTATTTTAAAAATTCTCTTTTCATATTTTTACAAGTAACATTAAAACTTGCTGATTGTCATGGGGACATATAGCAGTTTACATTTTCTTTTAATTATATTTCTTCTAAATGGAATGCTTAGGAAGACATGTATCATGGCCAATTTTAAATGCATGCTGAAATTTGCTTCTGTTTTAATATTTTATTTATACTCAAAAATTTCTTTAGTAGGATAAGCTTTCGAAAGACATAACAACATTGAAAATACTTTTTGAGAAGGCAAAAATTTGACAATTTATCTTGATATAGCATATCATATCAATATTCCAGAAATGGTATATTTTGCTATTACCATCCCCTCAACAGAAGAGTTAAAATGCATTATCATATTTACATGAACCAAAATTTAAAACCACTTATGTGGATTCTAAAAGAACCCTATGCATACAGCAAGCATTCAATACATGTTCTGATGAATATAAATAAATGAAAAAGAAAATAAAGGACTTTTAAATTGCATAAGAAAATAGAAAATTAGGCTATTATCTAGACAGAGAACTTAGTCTAATTATTTTTACAATCATTTTCCAAATAAAATATATTAAGCTATAATGAAATATCACTAAAATAACTTTAAAATATATTTTAAATGACACACACAAAATATATTAGTTTTATTAAAAGTCTGAGATATAAACATTTAAAAAATAAACTTATATTTGATAACTTAAAACAGTGAAGTCTCATACAAAAGTATCTTGTACTTTATTCATCCCTGAAGCAAATTTAGCTATTTTTCTAAGTATATTGATTTGAGGTATTGCCTAAAAAGTATTAGATAATACAATGAAGTCTAATACAAAAGTATTTTTTGCTTTATTGATCCCTGAAGTAAATTTAGCTATTTTTCTAAGTATATTGCTTTGAGGTACTGTCTAAAAATATTAGATAATACTCACGTTAACTTTACTACACTCTATTCTATTAGAATGTAATGATAAAGTTTTTTTTTACAATTTCTACAAAGGTTACTTTCAACTGAAAACTAATAAGGTGAGGGTATGTTACCTAATAAATTCCATTTTTAGGTAAAGAGATTATTAAAACAAAAGTAGGAGAATTCTAATGAATGTGAGGTGTTATTTCACTTAAAAGCATCATTTTCAAACTTTACAGAATTGTCCTTCTAAAAACCAAACTTTCCTCCATGTTTAAAAAAAATGTAAGAGCTATTGTATAAAGAAATTAGGAGTGAAGAAGTTGGGAATTTATCTTCTAAGAATGCTGCTAGAATGAACGAGACGTCTTACATTTCAAACTTCAGAATCTGAAATTTTTTTCTGACAAAATAACAAAAGCTTTTTGAAAGGCCTTCATAAAAGAAAGCCACACTGATAGAGAAATTGTGAATAAGAAGTATACCTATAAATTTTCAAATATATTTTAATTATATAGCAAAATAATTGAATATTAAGAAAAATCATTACTTAATGACATATCACAAGAAGTTATTTGCTATGGAAAATATTTAATGGACATATGAATAAGTTTCCCTTTCCTAATGTGCCACTTCAGTGGAGAATAACAGTTAGTAATTTTAAGAGATAATTAATGTCAAAGTATGTACAAAACAGTTAACTCTTAAGTAATAGCACCGCTGAATAAATGAAATTGAATTGAGATGTATGATTAACTTGTCAATTATTTTTATTTTATGAATGAACCAGAATTAACAAAGGTAAAAATGGACAATCTTGAAAAATGAAAAAAAAATGTTATTGATCTCTACAAACGTATTATATCTACAGAGCATTAAACTCATGTTCCCTAAAATCAAGCTCTCATGCTCTATCCTAAAACAAACCTTTTTATTTCCCCATGATCACCTCTGCCCCCTGCTGCCCATAAATTAGTTATAGTCTAACATTTAAAAATAGAATTGGTAAGTAAAAACTATAGGAGGTATAATATAAAACTAATTTACTATTTTCAAAAGCCTAAAATAATCCTCTTGAAAAAAATTAAGGTTTCCTTTTCCTATTAAAATTTTCAGTTTTTTTGTTGAAAATATGAAAGCCCCCCTACTTAAATTAAAATATAGAATAAAGAACAAAACCAATGTAATTCTTTTTCTACTGGATATTATATAATTGTATATAACAATATTTTAAGTCTTAAAGAGGGTTTTAAAAATTTTTGCAGAGAAAGATAATTATCTATTATTAACAAAATGACTAATTCTTAGCTATACAAATTTATTGTGATGAAAAAGATTGCACATAAACAGAATAAGTATTAACTATAGGAATTATAAAAAAATCTAACTTCCTTACTTTTAAATATATTCAAACATTTGTAACTACATTGACATAGCTGTCTGCTAATACAGGTGCATCTATTCTATACTAGCCATATATATATATATCACTGACTTCATTCATTTATTATATATTTATCACAATAAAATTAAATGACAAAACAAAATACAACTTTGTAGTAGACATACAGGGCAGAAAATAAACTTACATGTACTGATATACTTATTTACACATTACTCTTTATTACCTATTCTCTGATAAAGTATATTTCCATGGGGGGGCAATTATATAACTATATGATCTTCTTAAAGCCTTGAAAAACACATCTGATACAAAAGAATATAAAGACCAAAATGCTGAAAAAAGTATAGATGAACATTTTTTTAAATGCAGTAACATATGTCCTTTTACAGTATGATTCTAAAAATGTTCAGAAAAAAATCTAAACTATTTAAGGTGCTTTAAACAAATATGTAGAGTATTTTATTGGGTAAACTACTTAGGTAAAATAAGCATTTTCCACATTGCTTAAAAAAGACAGCAAGAAACATGCCATAAATATTTTAGTAACAAAAGATTTTAACAATACATACTATACTACTTTAGTTCTTCACAAGACATATCTGACCTGATCCGAAATAGAACATGATAAATACTGTTCAGATATAATATATGTGGTATTGTGACACATAACTAGCACAAAAGCTCTTTCTTTAATCAAGCAATCATAATTGTCAAGGCATATACAAAGAATGAGACCTAAAATACAGTTAACATTTTAAACTACAGGGAAAAAACACATTATTTCATATGCTATGCACTCAAGAAGACATTTATATTGCAATTTTCTTACTGCTATTGTGACAGGGGAAAAAATTCTAATAGCTTCAGAATCATATGTATTCAGCTTTTTTTTGAACATCTATAAAACATAAAAACAGTTTAATGTTCATTTCCTACAAGAATTCACATTCAGAAGAGAGTCATCAAAATTTACTACATGTAAGATAAGTAATACTGACAGCGTTCTCTAGCTTAACATTTCCCCTGAATCCTCTCATTGTTGTTTAACATTACTGTATACTGGAAGAGTACGTTTCTTTTTGTTACAGTGTGCTGACTTACAGCATTTAGAGCAATATTAAGTTCTCTTTAGGAATACAGAGAACTTTCTAATACAGTCTGAAAAAATTCAAAGTAGAATCTATATTATGGAAATTAAGAATCTAGCAGCAATAATATAGGTTTTGAAACCACTAAATTTGTAGGTAAAAAGACTCAGAATACTGTAAATTTCAATTAGACCCTTGCGATTGTTTTCCTTTGTAGTAATATATCGGAATACATTTTGTCAAGATTTCTTTAATCGAAACCAAAACCCACTAATATTTGTCTTGGATTATTCTCTTGAGATATTCACATATGTTACATGGAAGAAAGAAACTTAACAACTAGAAAAAAGCTTGAAAGAAGGCTTCTTTGGAAATCTATGAAGAAGTACACAGAATTATTGAATTAAAGCAAGAAGATCATTTCAATGCTTAGTGCATTCTAAAGCATTTATATCTAGCAAGTAGATGAGACAAAATAGGAAAAGGTTCACCTTTCTACAGTTCATGTTGTTTGTGGCATTAGTCACCACACACACACACACACACACACACATACACACAAACACATTTCATAGAAATCACACTCCTACAATGTTCTTTTTAATCCGTGTCTGAGATCTGAGTGATTGTATGTTACACTTCTCTTTCTTTGATCTTCCTCAGTACTCAGCTCACTGTTAACTGTCCTGGGTGGTCTCCCATCAGGGCTTAGTGATCAGTGTCCCTCTCTATTGGCTGCCTTCTAGGGATTCCTATCAGCTGTATTCTTACATGCATCTGACAACTTTATTAGCTCACTCGGATTGTGCTTCAGAACATCTCCACAGCACATATACTCTTTCTCAAACAATCACACTTTTGTAGTTGACACAGAACAAATAATTATATGAACACTTCAGCTGTTATACTCAATAATAAAGTCGAAATGAAGAGAAATTTCACATTATGTATAAGTCAGAGCTTAGTTTTCATGTTCAGACTAAAAAAATCAATTCTAGATTGATTTTTGTGTATATATCGTTATTGTCAGAGGATTAATTGATGAATTTTTCATTTGATGAGTCAGTTGGAATAAGCTCTGAGGCACTTAGTGAGCAGAATTCTAATTTACTCTGGTTCTTCACACTCTGCAGTAAACTCATCAATTTTGATATTTTATCATAATTTGCTTGCTCCCAAAATGTTCAGAATAAGGTTCCAACACAAAATGAAAGGTATTTAGTACTGTGAATATCTTTGTATTTCTAGGCTATGTCATTAGTGTAATTTGGATTTTGAAAACTGATTGAACCCTTTTAAAAGATATTAAACCTCTGTCTGATTCAACGTGTCCATTTTGAGTTTTTATTTCATTATGATCTAAATCTCCACTGTATAGCTAGTTTCCATCCACTTACCTAAAAAGTTCTGCAAAGCAAATATAATAACACTTCAAAAACACCATATTTATAACCTGACAGTGTAAAATCACACATTAAAATTATGGAAATTTTATTTTGGTCCCAAAAAAGGCATATTCCCATGATAAACAAAAAAAACTTAAAAATCCTAAATATTTTCTAAGAAATATTAAATGCATTTTATTGCCCAAATACCATACTTGCTAAAAAATTTAAAATTTCATAGTATACTTTCAAGTGCCTCACAAGAATAAAGACAAGCAAATAATTCTTCATATTTCTTTTTCTTCTTCATATTCCTTACTGAACACAACATCTTAGAATATAGCTGTGTTTTCCAAAGGTAATCTGCCACACCTCTAAGATCTTCTATGCATTTATTTTTCATGTAAAGGAAGACCATTTTTTTAAAAAAAAATTTAGCATACATATTACTTTGGAAAATTTAAGTTAATAAACAACTGTCATAACTAACTGTATCAAAGTTCTTTCAGAGATAATTTCTTCTCCCTCTGGAGTTTGCTTTTAGGTTATTCTTTTCAATAACATCTTTACGTTTATTATTTTCCCCATAGTCTCCTTTTTCTCTGTACTTCTGGTGCTAAGTCCTTGCCCTAATTCTAAGGCTGGTGAGAGCAGATGTGGCATATTGCTCTGATTCCCCACACTTAATCTTCCTAAAAGGGTCCCATATGTAGAGTTTCTATAGTCAAAGGGGCTGGAAAAGCCTCCTTCTGTGTTTAAACTAATCAACAAGATTTTCTGTCGGCCAGGAGAAAAGTCAGTTTTGATGCTCTTACTCTCCCAGTGCTGTGAACTGTCTTCACAGAACTATCAGCATCAAGGACAGGGAGCAAGGGGTCATGTTCAGCTAAGACTCATATAACCTCCTACTTCTCTATTCTTGCAAGCGTCCCCTTTTCTACCTCTATGACCTTGTCACTTTCCTTCATTACTTTGTCCTCCTCGGATACTAGAGCCAATAACGATAGCATCTATACAAGAGAACAGCTTGGAGCATGAGCCGAATGAAAAACTGATTTCCAGTCAGTTTTGCTGTCCTATTGCTTACTTCCTTAGAAAAGGATAAAAAAAAGTCTAGATTATTTGAGCACTAACCATATCCTAAGTTCAGAACTCTCAAATAGCAGACTAAGATGGCATAATAAAATTCCCAGACAACTTTTGTGTTTAAGTAATTTTCTTTGGGTTAGTTTATATCAGTTTTTTAATATTCACTTTTAAGCCTATGTAACAAACTAAAATTTATGGTTGCTGGTCCAATATAAACTTCTACAAATTTTATGCTAAAGCTAAATGTGAAAGAATATTCCTTGAAATTATTATAGTGATTAAACTATTATAACATTGAATAATTTTAATCACACCAATTTAATGCAAAATGAGTTTAATTAATAATACAATAGACAGAGCTTGGTTTTAGAGTGTGAAATATCAAACTACACCCTCAAGATCAGTCTAGATAAAATATTCTCCTTTCTGTGACCTAGAACATCCTTCCATGGAAGATTCCTATTACAATCCCGCAGATTTAGACTACTCTTCCTACTCAAGATAGTGAACAAAGAAAGTCACAGTAGACAAACTAAACTCTGAAAAATCTGCTACATCTTATTAGCTGTCTTAAAAGGCATAAATAATGATCAAGGAGGGTTTGGGAATCTGTAGATTTTCCTTGTTAGTAACACTTTGAATTCTGTAACCATGGCTAATATAGAGCTATGAGTACTCCATATGAAAATAATGTTGTGAGGTGAATAGGAAAACTGGAAAATAAGATTCTAAATTTTCCCTTAAGTTATAGTAATCTATGCTGTAATGTAAATGTTTATAAAGTTTAACAATGTTGAAAGTGTCAGTGAGAATTAATATTTCTTAAGTTATATGCAGTTAAAATGTGAAATATGGCATCCAAAATAGTACTATCTTATTCAAAATAAATTGTTTTTGTGAGTGCTTGATTAAATAGTGAGAGAGTGAACAAAGACTGAATTTGAAATTACTTAATTTATCTGAAAATTACATTTGGATGGTCTAAGTAAAGCACTTAAATAATTAAACTATTAGAATAAGATACAGTATCTTATCAGAAATACATAGAAGCAGAATAAGAAATCATAACTCCTTTTATCTGTAAAATACTAAATTAATTTATATCCCAAATCCGGAATAAAATAAATTTCATAATTTTTTACCTAATCTAGATCTGTATAAAAACTCATTGATACAGCAGAGCAGGTGGTATTCTGAATAACTGAGGGTTATTAAGAATAACTTGTGAATAACTGAGGGTTGTTCAGAAGAACTCGTGAAAATCTTTCCTACAACGTGTTACCCTCCCTCATATAATGCTGCTTCGATAATCAGGGTCATCATTACCGAACATTGAGTAATTAACCCATTATTTTTATGCTATAAACGTGAATGGAACGAAATACTAGACTGAATATGGTAGAGGCCAAGGGATCCTTATGAAATTTGTTTTCTTGATATTCACCTCTTTCCCATAAATGTAAAAGGTAGAGGAAAAAAGTAGAAAGATTCCGTATCACATGACATGGTTACTCTTTTTACTAAATCGTTTACAGAATTAGTAACTTTCTACTTTGGTGTTCTGCTATCATCCATTACACTGTCTTCCACACTCTATCAATGACCACAAGTTTTTCAGTTGCATTCAAAGTTTCCTTTATTTGTACTGGCAAACCAAGCAATTGGGCTCTTCATTGGCTTGTTTACCTTTATGAGGTAATACTGCCATCTTGTGGACTCAAAAATATTTCTAGTAAAGACCATCAAAGACAAGTTGCATTTTTCTAACTACAGGCATAAACAGGTATTCTGTGCCCTTGCTTTCACTTACTTCTGAGAATAATGCAGTATAGGATCCTAGAGCATACCAGATAATCAAGGTTTTACTCTATGCTGAACAAAGACTTTTATTTCATCATATAATTCATCTATTCATGATCAAATTCTTGGTTGAAGCAGATAATCACAAAGATGTGGTTAACTGGGTCCAAAACACAGGTTCATAAAACTTAAAAGAAGTTGTCATGGATCATGAAGAAATGAAATAAAACTGAAGATAATATAATAACTTTCACACAAACATATGAAACCCAAATATCTGAGAACCACTAATATAGGCAATGGTTATCATCTTGAAGAATGAGCTATCTTTATGATTTTATTAACTCTCTACTCCCTCCCTCAAATCCTCAATTAATACGTGTATATTAGGTTTGCCAAGTATGGACTTTAAAAGAGAATGAAGATGATATGGAAGAAAGATACTTCATGTTGGGTAGCAAGATCATAAAAGGATTCTATATAGAAGCATTCCAGAAGAAAGATTAGGAAAGCTAGTGTGATGAGAAAGAGTTCTACCATGGCTGGATTATATTTTCATTTAATATTTGTTTCCAATACACATATCTCTTTACCAGTATTCTCAATGTATTCAAGGTTTCCAAGTACAGGATGTTGAGCTGGATGCTTTCCATATCACAGTAAAGCTGAAGTATGGGTGTTATCCCTATTTTGCAGAAAAGAAACGTTTCATCAGTCTTCACTATAGGTAATGACATATATCATTAAAAATAATTTAATTCGCTCTTGCAAGTAAGAGCATTAAATGTTATTATATAAACACACTCTCCTTCTATCATTGTGAATTGTGAGAAAAACTGATAGCACATAAGCATGAAAAACAGACAGAAGCAAACTGTCAACCCGAAGAATTTTATCAGGGCAATAACTAAGTGAGAAACAGAAACTAAGAATTACTATTTAAATGCATTTTGGCATTTAGTTTTATGCCAAATAAAAAGCAAAGCTGCTATCATCAAGCATACATTTAAATTTAAAGTATGAAATGTATATTTACAATGTATTAAAACAGTGACTAATATTATGTATTATCTATGCTCTACCAAGTTTAATAAGACAATTTAAATAGTATTTTCAACTGATGGCATTTATGCTTTAAAAATATGACCTATTTCAAGTGTGGTGTGAGGCAAAAGTAGAAATACATATTGGGTCAGCATTAATAGTCACATTTTGTTCCATCAGTTTGTAATTTCGAGAGTCTCTGTCTTGGCTTCTTCCAGCTCTGAGCATTAGATAGCTTATGTAAATTATTAGCCCCCTTCCCTCAGAACCCCCTAAACTATGTACTTTCCTGACCTCAGTTAGTAACAGCAAACTAGAGGAAACATTCCATACAATGGGTGCTTTGTATGAACTCTCTACTCTGAGCAGATCCTAAAGGAACATTAAATTCAAGGAAAGCCTTCACTTTTCGAAATATTCATGGCAGAGGTCTTCCAAGATAGATACAGGTAATAACAAGGACAGGTAGCAGCAAATGAAATTTTACAAAGAAAAGTATAAAGAGGAAAAGAAAGCATGGGGATGTTATCATAAAAAGAAAATAGAGCCATAAGCATTTGGACTATTCCATTTGTAACATGAATAAATAACTGCAGCTTACAAACATATTCTTTCCCTTCTTATAGTATCTCATTTAATCCTCATTAATCTCAACAAAATAATGACAAATGTATGCGTATTATCTTCATTTCCTAATACACCTCAGAGAAGTTAAGTAACCAGCTCTAGGGCACAGTGGCTAGGGCTAGCATTTGAACTTGGGTTTGGTCTAACTCCAAATTTTAACCCCTACTGAATTCCCCACTAATAATGTTGATGATATTGCTACAGTGCAGTACAGTTCATCTCATTTAACCCTCTGACTAACTCTGTAAAGGGGCATTATCCCCATTTTACAAATGAGAAAATGGATTCAGGAAGATCAAGTTATTTATCACAATTCACATAGCTAGTAGGAGACAAAGGAGAAACTAGAAGCCAGATCAATTTATCCCAAATCCAGTGTGTTTTCTTGTACTCCAGTTCTTTTTCTTCAAAAAATAAAAACACCTCATATAATGTTTTGCTTCATTTATTCAATCATCAAATGTTTGCATGATTGTTATGTATACTCTGTGTCATTACTGCAAAGAAAAAAAAATTATATTGTTCTTTCCTGCAACATAAAAAACAGTGGGCCAGGTGCAGTGGTTCACACCTGTAATCCCAGCACTTTGGAAGGCAAAGGCGGGAGGATTGCTTGAGTCCAGGAGTTCGAGACCAGCCTGGGAAACAAAATAAGACCTCATCTCTACAAAAAATTAAAAAAATTAGCCACACATGGCAGCACTCACCTGTAGTCCCAGCTACTGGGGGAATGGGGAGGGAGGATACCCTTCACCGAAATGTTTGAGGTAGCAGTGGGCTGTGATTGCACCACTGCACTCAAGCCTGAATAACAGAGTCAAACCCTGTCTCAGAAACAAAACAAAACAGTGGTTCTTTCAACATTTATAATGTATTTCCTTGTCCCATTTCCCTGTACCAGCCCCAAAATGTGGTTGCTTTTCAAGACTCAGCCCTCAACCCTCTGATGTCCTCTATTCTTTCTTAAGCCACATTTATAGTTTTAACTTGTCCCTTTTTGTTAATGACTCTCAATGTGGTCCTAATTTCATACCTGAATACCATTTCTTTATTCCTAAGTTTATATAAAAATAATCTCCTTTTTAAATACCTGTTTTCTCAAACTGAACCAATCAACAACTAAACTCACCAGTGTATACTCAATACAATAATCTACCTTTCCAACTTTTGTCAGTGATAGTACAAGTGTCCTGCTCTTGTCCAACAAAAAATATTACAATTACAGAAAGGAAGTAGTGGGGAGAAATTGTGTATACGCATGTGTAAACACATGTGTGGGAAGAAGTGATGTCCACTTATTAGATGTAGGACATGAAGAAGTAACTTAACTTTACATTCATAAAGTAAGTGGGAAAGACTAAATATTAGGTTACTTCCAAATTTCTTTTTTTTTTTTTTTTTTTTTGAGATGGAGTCTTGCTCTGTCGTGCAATGGTGAGATCTCAGCTCACTGTAACCTCTGCCTCCCGGGTTCAAGTGATTCTCCTGCCTCAGCCTCCCGAGTAGCTGGGATTACAAGCACCCGCCATCATGCCCAGCTAATTTTTGTATTTTTAGTAGATATGGGTTTTCACCATGTTGGCCAGGCTGGCTTCAAACTCCTGACCTTGGGCGATCTGCCCGTCTCGGCCTCCCAAAATGCTGGGATTACAGGCATGAGCCACTGCGCCTAGCCCCAAATTTCAAACTCTGTGTTCTCAGAGTCCCGTATTGCTTCCTGTATTTGGTCACTAAGTACTAAAGTTTATTTTCTTTCCCAATTTCTCTGACTTCTTCCCTGATTCTATGAAACAGTGATTCTTAACCTTGGCTGCACATTGCCATCACCTGGGATGCTTTAAAATACACTTATTCCCTCGTCAGCTCCCTTCCCCCAGAAATTCTGATGTAATTAGTCAAAAGTGAAACTTGAACAGTGGGCAGTGGTTCCCAAACTCTGATGTACATTACAATCACCCGTAAAACATTAAGCACTCCAAATTTAATCTCAGTGTTTGGTGGTAGGTATCAGGCATTAGCATTTTTCAAAGATTCCACAGGTAATTCCAGTGTCAGCAAAGTTAGGGAGAAAACAAAGTCTGGGGAAGCAGCAATGTTTTAGATATAAATTTACTTCAACTGTGTACGAATTCAATCACATATATTGTTGGGATAAGAAAGGAGGACTTGAACTTAGGGTCTAATATATTTTTATATATTTATATAAAGATTTCAAAACTTTTATAAAGATTTGGTAATTATCTCTTTAATAATTTGACTTACCTGTAAATGACACTAAAAATAATTTATTTAATTAAATTTACTGTCAAGTTTCTAGAAGAGAGAAGAATCAATTTTTTAAATAGTGTATTATTTTAGAATATTTTGGTAAAGTAGATTAGCAAAGATTTTTTTGATTGTATAAAGTGGTAATATAAGTTTTATTTCATTGTAGAATAAGGTACATAGACCATGAAGGGAATTGTAATTCTTAAGATGAAAATTGGAGAGCACGGTAACATATCTTAGGCAATTGTGATTGGCAATCATTTATAGCCCAAATGGTCGTTAGCTTTGTAAGTTTAGGTTATTAATTTGAACATTAGTATAATTTCTAGTCTTCGCCAATCTTTTTGAATTTACCCAGCTCAGAGCACTCCAATTTCTATTAGGTATCTCAAACTGCTGGAATATAAAGATGACATATATAAATACTTCTCATCCTTTTCCTCCTTTTTACTATAAGCAAGTGGGAGGGGGAAAGTAAAAACTCATGTCTCTTTCAAATGAACTTTATTTTAGAAAGTTGAATAAAAGTTTAATGAAACATCCTTACTTAGACAACTCTTTTCTAGACAAAGGTACAAGGCTTGTATTGAATGTTTTCACAAATTGATTATGAGCTTATTTTTCACACACCTAAATCTCCATAAAGTGTACATTTGCTTTATTTTTTTCTTGAGACTCTATAGAAAAAAATATATTTCTATATAGGAATTATAGTATACGATCTGTAATACATCAGGTCAATTAAAATTAAAAATCCACAGGATTCTCTGTTGTTTTATTGAAGAATAAAATAAACCACTATAGTACACAGTAGTATAAACCACTATATACTATAGCTTTAGGGCTCGTGCCTGGATCATAGGTACTGGCACATTGTTTGCGTAGTTAGAGTAATAATAAAGACTAAGTGCTGACTCTGTGCCAGGTGTGTCTTAAAATATTTACATGGATTATTTCACATAACTTCATAACGAGCCATAGAGCTCATACTGCTGCCATCTTCCCTTTTCAGATGAGGACACAGGTTTAGCAGTGTTAACACAGACCATAATTTTGTGTGACAGAATAAGATAAACATACCATTGACCCTTGAACAATATGGGTTTGAACTGTGTGGGTCCACTTATATGCAGAATATTTTGAATAAATATATTCAAAAAATTTGGGGGGACTTGTGACAATTTCAGAAAACTTACAGATGAATTGCATGGCCTAGAAACATCAAAAAAATTAAGAAGTTAGGCATGTCATGAATGCATAAAATATATGTAGATACCAGTCTATTTGATCATTTAATACCATATAATATTCACAAATATATTATAGAAAATTAAAATTTATCAAAACTTATGCACACAAGCACTTACACACCATACATGGTACCATTCACAGTTGAGAGAAATGTAAACAAATGTAAAGATGCAGTATAAAATCGTAACTGCATAAAATTCACTGCAGTTCATACTGCAGTGCTGTAATAATTTCGTAGCCATCTCCTTTGCTATTGTGTGCTCAAGTGTTGTGAATGTCCCCTTAAAATGTCATGTAATACTAATCTGTGCGAGCAGTTGTCTCTTCAGTAAATTGCATATCCCAGTAAAAAGTGATTTCTCACTGTTCTTGCATATTTTTCATTGTGTTTAGTGTAATACCGGAAACTCTGAATAACACCATGAGACTCATGAAGTGCCACTAGTGATGCTGGAAGTGCTCCCAAGAAGCAAAAAAAAGTCATGACATTACAAGAAAAAGTTAAATTGCTTGATATATACCATACATTGAGGGCTGCAGTTGTGGTTGCCCGCCATTTCAAGATAAATGAGTTCAGTGTAAAGACCATGTTAAAAAAAAAAAAAAAAAAAAGGAAATTCGTGAAGCTGTAGCTACAGCTGTGCCAGCAGGTGCAAAGCCCTTCACTGTTTGCAAAATTCCTTTTCATCTCATATTGAAAATGCAGCTTTTATGTGACTGCAGGATTGCTATAAGAAAGACATACCTATAGATTCTTATATGATTTGAGAAAAGGCAAAGTCATTACATGGAAACTTAAAGGAAGGTGAAGGATCTAAAGCTGGAGAATTTAGTGCCAGTAAAGAGTGGTTTGATAATTTTAGAAAGAGGTCTGGCTTTAGAAATGTCAAGATAAGAGGAGAAGCAACTTCTGCCAACCAAGAGGCAACGGACATGTTCTCAGACGCCATTAAGAAAATCATTGAGAAGAAAGGATATCTGCCTAAACTGGTTTTTTAATGCAGACAAAAGTGCCCAATTCTGGAAAAAAAAAATGCCACAAAAGACATTTATTAGTAAGGAAGAGAAGTGAGCACCAGAATTTAAGGCAGGAAGGCATAGGCTAACTCTACTGTTTTGTGCACATGCATTCAGGTTTATGATCAGGACTGTTCTCATCTATAAAGCTGCTAATCGTTGAAGGAAAAAGATAAACACCAGCCGCCTGTTTTTTGGTTGTACAACAAGAAGTCCTGGAAAATGAAAACACTTTTTCCAGATTGGTTCCATCAATGCTTTGTCCCTTAAGTCAGAAAGTACCTTGCTAGTAAGGGACTGCCTTTGAAAGTTCCTTTGTTATCGGACAATATCCCTAGCCATCCAGACCCCCAAGAGTTCAACACTGAAGATGTCGAGGTGGTCTACTTGCCCCCAAATAAAACATCTCTAATTCAGTCTCTAGATAGGGGTTCATAAGGACTTTTAAAGATAATTACACATGGTACTTTATAGAAAGCATTGTCAATGCCATAGAAGAGAACCCTGATGAAAGATTATGAATTTCTGGAAAGATTACACCAATGAAGATGCCATCATTGTTACAGAAAAAGCCATGAAAGCCATCAAGCCTGAAGCAATGAATTCCTGCTGGAGAAACCTGTGTCCAGATGTTGTGCATAACTTCACAGGACTCATGAAAGAATAATTAGGGAAATAATAAAGGAGATTGTGGATATGGGGGAAAAAAATTGAAGAGGCAGTGAAGGGTTTCAAGATAAGGATCTTGGGATATTCAAGAGCTAATAGACACTACACCAGAAGAATCAACAGAAAACAACTTGGTGCCAGGTGTGGTGGCGCATGCCTATAATCCTAGCACTTTGGGAGGCCGAGGCAGGCAGATCACTTGAGGTCAGGAGTTCGAAACCAGACTGGCCAACATGGTGAAACCCCATCTCTACTAAAAATATTTTTTTAAAAATTAGCCAGGCGTGATGGCGGGTGCCTGTAATCCCAGGAAAGAAGGAAAGAACGAAGGGAAGGGAAGGGGAGGGGAGGGGAAGGGAGGGGAGGGGAGGGGAGGGGAAAAGAAAGAAAGGGAGGGAGGGAGGGAGGGAGGAAGGGAGGGAGGGAGGGAGGGAGGGAGGGAGGAAGGAAAGAAACAACCAACTTGGGAGATGAATGTTTCCAAACCAGTGCCAGACGATAAGGAAAAAGACATAGAAGATACAGTGCCAGAAAATAAGTTGACATTAGACAACGTGGCGGAAGCTTTCCAATTATTCAAGACTGGTTTTTGACTTCTTTTATGACATGGATCCTTCAATGATATGGGCACTGAAATTAAACCAAATGGTAGAAAAAGAATTGGTACCGTATAGAAACATTTTTAGAGAAATTAAAAAGCAAAAAAGTCAGAAATTACCATGTATTTCCACAAAGTTACAAGAAATATACTGCCTCGTCTGGCTTCCTTTCTATCTCCTGCACCTCTTTTGCCTCTGCCACCACTGAGACAGCAAGACCAAGCCCTCCTCTTTCTCCTCCTCAGCCTATTCAACATGAAGACAAGGATTAAGACCTTTATGATGATCCATTTCCACTTAAAGTAGATCAGTCAATTTATATTTTCTTCCTTATGATTTTCCTAATAACATTTTCTTTTCCATGACTTATTTATTATAAAATACAGTATATAATACTATACAAAACGTGTGAATCAACTGTTTACGTTATCAGTAAGGATTCTGGAAAACAGCAGGCTACTAGTAAATTTGGGGGGAGTCAAAAGTTATATGCAGATTTCCAACTTTGCAGAGCAGTTGAATATCTGCATATAACCCCTTAACTCCTGCATTTTTAAAGAGTCAACTGTATTTTTTTATTATTTTTTCAACTGCAGGAATTGTGGGTAATTTTTCTTTTTGTGTTTTTCAGCATTTTCCAAATAACTTTTTAAAAGGGAAAAATAAGTAAATAAATAACACAGTTATATGGCTGGGCGCAGTGGCTCATGCCTGTAATCACAGAACTCTGAGAGGCACTGTTTGAGCTCAGGAGCTCAAGACCAACCTGGACAACAAAGTGAGACTTCATCTCTACTACAAATTAAAAAATCAGCCAGGCGTGGTGTTGGATACAAGTGGTCTCAGCTACTCAGGAGCTGAGGTGGGAGGATTGCTTGAGCCCAGGAGTTCAAGGTTACAATGGGCTATGATCACACCACTGCATTTCAGCCTGGGCAAGAGAGTGAGACCTTGTCTCAAAAACAAACATACCAAAGAAAGAATACTCTACTGGAATGAAGGGATGCACACCCTTTAAGTGAAACATGTTATAGAAGTTCATATATATAATATGTATCCAAAAGAAGACATACAGAAACTTATATGCCAGTGGTTAATAAAATGGGAAGAGAGGGACAGAGAAAGAAGAGTGGAAAGTTTTTGAGCAATGAAGGGACATTATCCAATTTGTGTTTTCTAGGAGGCTTAATTATATAATTAAGCCTTCAAATTATATTTGAAAGCACAAAACTAGATAGAACACTATGAAGATAGACTGGACATGAGGTGAGGTCTTCAGAGAACCTCGATTATTCTACTTGTAGCTACACGATGAAAAATTAACATGCTTTCATAGATCATTTTTGAAACCACTAACAAACCCTTAAGGGAAAAAGTGAAAAAACAAAAGGGTGTGAAGAAGGGAGCAAGGAAGCAAAAGAAAAAAAGGTTAAATAACTGGCATGTTTCATACAGAAACTGGTATTAAATCCATGATTTAATGCCCAAGTTTTAACTACCATATGCCACTGCTTCCTGCAATCCCTCAGGAAATGTATACTGAATGGATAACCAGATAAATGGAAGTGAATATTCTTAATGAAGACTGGTATATGGGTCATTTGGATTCCTACTTGTAAGACAGAGAATGGCAGAGAGAGTGCCAATTTGTAACCACTGAAAAAGCTCTTAATATCACCAAAAGAGCTAGGGTATCCCATAACCAATAATTGTCTCATTTGCCAATATATATTACCAACAAATGTTTTCAGGATGGCAGAAGATATAGAGAAAGAAAACCAAGAGCCAGGAGAACCAAGTAGTGAATAGGAAACAAACAGCAAATAAGAAACAAATAAGAGTAGATCCACAAAACTCTAAAGTGTTGAATGACTTGTTCAGTAACTACCCGGAGGATTTAGCTGGAGGGTCAGGGGGAGGGAATATGTAATTCAAAAATAGCTGGGCATGCAACATTGTTAAAGTATTACATAATATAGGCTTCTGAGAAGACCTCTGCTTTTTCTTAGTCCACTTTAGCTTACTGAAAGAAATAACTTAATCATCACTCATGCACAGACTCTATTCTGTGCTCTCAAGGAGTATAAAATAAATGTAGACCTTGGATACTGTCAAATGTAAAATCGCTCTGAATGTTTCTCCTGACTAACTACCACCTCATTAAGGTGATCAATCTTACATTAGCAATAACTGAAAATTTTCAAAATTTTCAAAAGGTATGGTCATTAAAAAAAAGAACACTTAGCATTTCCCCCCATAGAATAATACAGTTTAAATTGTTATAAAATGTAATGTCTTAATCTATTAATTTTGTATCTATTGGTTATAAGAATGATGACGAACAATTACATCAAAGAAAACATCTAATATTAAGAAAACCCTACATGACCTAGTAATTTGCCACTTCTTCCTTAATATGTCATTTACACACAGCATTGTACGAGACTATGATAGTTAAGAAACTGTCTTAAAGATTCTTGAGAATGAGAAACTTACACTTTTATTTAAACTACCCAAATTAAAGTTGTGGTAAACAAAACATGTCAGAATGAATCATTTGATTGGGCAGAGAAGAAAGCCCATTATTTGCCCAGTATTAGTGTCTTACATAATGTGTTCACACTCTCCATGACATGCTAAGACAGATTAGCTTAGGGTCCTGGGTATGTGGGACAAAGGGATGATTCATATCCTGAGTAAAACAAAGTAGGATGGCACAAGATTTCCTCATAATACTCAGAAAGGTGTGCAATGTAAAACTTCTGATTATTTCTGGAATTTTCAACCTGGTATTTTTGGACTATGGTCGATGACAGGTAACTGAAACCATGGAAAGCAAAAACAGGGATAAGGGGAGGACTACTTATCCCCCTTATCCATGGGGAGATATGTTGAAAAAGCTCAACATATCTTACCACCTAAGAAGAAAATCCTATCTCTGACGCAGTTAATAAGAAAAAAATCTCAAATCAAGACAAAGTAAAATTTGAGGAAGAGGTCTATTTCACTAATGAGGGGCTTCACTACTAAAGGGCAGCTTTTCTCATTTCCCAGGTATCTTTACTTTCCTCCATTCTGTTAAACAATCAGTTTTGATCTGAGTGGAGCCACCAAATTTATCAATAAGTGTACCTTTACAATATTAAGATTTAAATCACAGTACAAAAATACCAAATGCAATACATTGAAGATATCATCCATTTGCTAGGCTAGGCCTGTGTACTCTATGATATGAATGGGGAATAATTTTTTCTTGCCTCAGATACTACTATATTTCCAATTCTTTTTTTTTTTTTGAGACAGAGTTTTGCTCTTGTTGCCCAGGCTGGAGTACAATGGCGCGATCTCGGCTCACCGCAACCTCTGCCTCCCGGTTTCAAGTGATTCTCCTGCCTCAGTCTCCCGAGTAGCTGGGATTACAGGCATGTGCCACCATGCCCAGCTAATTTTGTATTTTTTTTTCAGTAGAGATGGGTTTCTCCATGTTGGTCAGGCTGGTCTCGAACTCCTGACCTCAGGTGATCTGCCCGCCTCGGCCTCCCAAAGTGCTGGGATTATAGGCATGAGCCACCGTGCCCGGCCTATATTTCCAATTCTTAAGTATAATTTTAATATGCCTTATACACTGGCAAATGTGGCATACTTTAGTTTTCATTCTGAAGGAAATGAAAAAGAATATGTCCTTTCACCCTCATTCTTGTGCATTTATCTAGATGCCTCATGTAGTAAAACTCTTTTTCTGCAAAATTCACCATGGAATGATAGTTCCACTCCAGATGAGCTATGGTGGATGCGATAAAATGCAAATGTGGGTTTCTTGAATGCTAATTCTCCAAGAAAGAAATCAATCCTAAGGCAGGATATGTGGACCAAATGAGGACGTTAATACCATGTGATTTGAAAGAAGATTTTTTTTTTTTTTTTAGTACTAACAAGTTTCTAATGCAAGTGAATTCTATTAGCCCAAGCAGGGCCATGATTGGCCAGGAGAGAAACTATACTGCAGAATAAATGTAGGAGGTGACATATAAAGAAAACACTGAGGTCAAACTCATCTCAAGAGAACTGAATAGGATGTAAGCAAAGACAGAGGAAGAAAATGATGCAGGAGATTCAACTGTGTTGGAATTTAGGTCATTGAGAGAAAAAGGCTCATCCCAAAATGAAAAAACTGCTTGGAATGTGCCAGAAAAAAAAAAAAAATCCTCTCTAAGAAACAAATAAACTAAGAGGAACCAGGAAGTGTTGGCAGCAAGTAAATATGTAAGTAGAAATATGAGGCAAAAAAGAGCTCAAAGACAGAAAGGAGAAAATACAAAAAGGAGTATGCTCTTAGTGAAGAGTCTGAGATTCTGTATTTTAAAGCGTGCCTGGTGAATTAGGAAAATTTGGAAAAAGAACTAGGAAAGGGCTTGGCTTTGGAGTGAGATCTGGATTATAGACTGTAGCTTCACTGTTTTAGGAGGAAACATTTAACCTCCCTCAGCTAGTCTCCATGTGGACTAATGATTCTAACCTTGCTCATTCTTCCCCAGCATAGGGATGACCCATGTGATTGATGAACTGCTGTTTGTGGCTAAGCCTCTTGCTCCTCCTCCCTCACCCCGGACAGCCATAAAAAGTACATATTCTTCTCTGCTCCTCAGTACCGTAAACTTCATATGGTGAGGCTTGCTTATAGGTCTTGCTCTCTGTGGAGATGCATCAGCAGTCAAATGGGCTAACTGATACATCAGACCTATTTTCCAATCTATTATTTACTAGTAATAAAGATGACACATTGATCTTTATCATCTGACTCTTGTTCTCTCAATTGGTTCCGAATTTAGGTGGAGAAAAGACAGCTGAATCCAATTTGAGGTGTTAAAATATTAAGAAAATGTGCATCTTATTAGAGAATTGACAAACTGCAGTAATTTGATACCCTAGTATTATGACTTGCTAATTTATGAGTATATACATGTAAAAAAGAGGAGGGGAGAGGGAGAGAAAAGGGAAGAAAAAAAGAAGAGAAGAGGGAGACAGATTACTGATATCCAATTATCAAATATCCAAATAAGGGCTTATCTATAAAAATCATTAATTTTCTGTCTGTAGACATCGTAGCTCAGCTTCAGTTTCAATTCTAAAATCAACATTACCAATTCCTTTTTTTTTTTCATATTTGGAATACAACTTTTAGTCCAGCAGGAACTGGAAGTTATGGAAAGTTAAGGTTATATATCCACTTAGGATTAGAAACTAGGATAACTTTTGTAAGCTAACATCTTTGATTACTTCTCTACAACTCAGGAAGAACTGCTGAGGTTGGTCTTTTGTACCAATCTCATTGCAATGCTATTCATCCAAAATATGAAATGGGAAAAATAAAAGAATTGAGAAAGAACCGAGGCAGTTTTAGAGTTCGATTTTCACACTGAGATTTCATTAGTTTGATTGAAGTATTTGTTATGAGTACCCTGAATGTCTAACGGACCAATGTTAACTTTAAATTCAAATTCATCCATAGGCAAATATAAATGAGATTTAGATGTTTATTCCTACTACTTACTCTCACCTTCCTTAAAATATGGTAGCCTAAAAATTTTCCAAATAACAAGATATTGAATCTTATACTGTTTTGTGTAAAGCACTTCTCTGCAAAGCACAATGCTTATTACAAATGAAACACAACTGATATAAACACAAGTTATGTGGCTCCTTTTTTATCTAAGCACAGGCAAAGAGATCTATATGAACACATCATAACAGACTTATTTTTAAAAAGTTTTCCCCAGCTTTTAGATCGTAAGAGTTAAGTAATCTACTTTAAATTAGATCGTAAGAGTTAGGTAATCTAGTTAAAATTTTTCTCTTTTGTGCCACTGACATTTTAATAATAGGACAAGAAAACTACAGATTTAGAATAGTATTTTATGAAGGTTCCAAATTTAGATAAGGGAGTTTTGTATTAATTATCAAAAAATACACTACCAATAAAAACTGTTGATGGGCTATATGGGAAAAGTACCAGCACGTGCACATATATTAGAGAAGAAATAATACTCTTACAGCCTTCTTTAACATATTTTCTGTATTAAATTGGAAAGTCTGTTAAATACTTCAATGTACCACGAAGTCAACTGGTAACTGTTAAAGTCTACAAAAAAAAAAGTACTTTTTTTGATATTAGTCTTCAAATTAAAAAAAACAAAAGGTAGGAAAATGCTTAATTGTAATGTATTCCTATGTTAAATACTTTTCCACCATTAGATACATATCCAGAATCAAATTTCTAATCATGGTTACAACTCCCAAACACTGTAAAATAATTCTGTTCTTTTCATATCAATGCATTTTCATTTTTACTAGAACTAATTACCTTTAAATAAATGATTCAGAGATGTCAAAAGCGACTCTCAGGGAATGTTTCAAGAGGTCCCAGTTTCCTGAATTATAGCCTAGAACATCTGCTTAGCAATCTGGCAAGTAGTATGAAGCCAAAACAGTGTATCTCATATATGGTAGTTGTATCTGACCTCAAGAATGTGACAGCTGGCTACTTGCCTATAATTTTATACTGTAAAAATCTAAAATTCTGCATGCAAGAGACTAGAAAAAACAAGTGTGCCAACAACAGAATCATAGAGTGTATAAGGGCAGCAAGTTGCTTTAGGAAAGTATAATTATTGGCTTATTCATGCTAGAGAAAAGTAAAAAACATTGCTAAAAGAAATTTACTCACAAAAAAAGTAAAGCAACATAAAATTTCATTTTTCTTACAACTCAGAAAAAAAAATAAATGTAAAGTTAAACCTGTTGTAAAACTGGAGGAAATAAAACTTAAACTGGACCCTTTCAGAAATAAACTCTTTTAGGTACAAATTCTCAGAAGCATTCCCAAGACAAAATCAAACAGAAAAGAAATGAATTTATCAACTACATAAATTCAAAATTATTCTATTCAAACTGGTAGTCAGCAGTTATGTCACTTGACATACATTCTTAACCTAGGCATGAGTATATCAGTTGAAGAGTGTTCATAAACAGACTAGCAAGTATTGCAAGTAAAAACATCACATTGTCAGAGACAGCTGCAGTCTCAACCTGATCTTCACTAATCAGCAGGGTTATGATGCTTACATGACCAGACAAGAAATGACACTCACTTCAGCGCAATCTACATTCAAATTGATTTTGGACTTTTTAATTAGTCTCAAATTCAGAGGTCTAGAAACATATCAATACTTTATCTCTAGAATCACAGCTGACCACCAGTTACTCATAAAGTGTATGTATCCAAGATCTCTTACTGGAAAGGGGATGTGAAATTTCCCACTACTGCATTTTCATGGAATTCAAAATCATTTCAAAGGCGATTATAAATATGCTTGATAATACGCAGATGAAGACAAAGCATTTATACGAGAGTCTGTCTTGGATAATTACAGTAAGGACAATAGAAATAACTGATAAGATATGAAACAGGAAGTTGTATTTGATGCAGTAGTGGAAGCCTGAAACAACAGTGCCCCACTTATCCAGCAGTAAGAGTTGCACTCTCGTGTATAATACTCCTGAGCCCAGAAAAGTACATCTAACTGTCCACACTAATCTTCAATTCTTATATGGTAAAGATACACAAGTAGATAAAAAATACTCTTACAGAAATCATATTGAAAACAATTCAAGAATGACTTACATATGAAAAGAATATTTAAAAATTTCAATAGGCAGAGATTAGGGAGAAGTCTTTCAGATAGAAGAAAAGACAAGAGCAGAGGTGATGTAAGAAGAGCACCAGATGAGTTCAAGGAATGCAAGCCTTTCAATTGAAGCACAAAAGTATAAGAAAAACCCTCTTCTTGTTTTAAATATTTCTAATATTTATTTAAAATAAATTTCAAAGGTAAATATAAGCATAGTTCTGTTGAATTTTCCTGAAAGGCAAAACTGTTGTTAAAAATTGTTGACATTTCCATGAAAATACTCTTTTTATTTTTATTTTACTTTAAGTTCTGGGATACAAGTGCAGAACGTGTAGGTTTGTTACATAGGTATATGTGTGCCATGGTGGTTTGCTGCACCTATCAACCTGTCATCTAGGTTTTAAGCCCTGCATGCATTAGCTATTTGTCCCAATGCTCTCCCTCCCCTTGCCACCCATGCTGACTGGCCCAGGTGTGTGTTGTTCCCCTCCCTGTGTCCATGTGTTCTCACTGTTCAACTCCCACTTATGAGTAAGAACATGTGGTGTTTGGTTTTCTGTTTCTGTGTTAGTTTGCTGAGGATGATGGCTTCCATCTTCATCCATGTCCCTGCAAAGGACATGATCTCATTCCTTAAGAAAACCCCACCGGGCGCAGTGACTCACACCTGTAATCCCAGCACTTTGGGAGGACGAGGTGGGCAGATCATCTGAGGTCAGCAGTTTGAGACCAGCCTGACAACATGATGAAACCCCGTCTCTACTAAAAATACAAAATTAGCCGAGCATGGTGGTGCATGCCTGTAATCCCAGCTACTCGGGAGGCTAAGGCAAGAAAATCACTTGAACCCAGGAGGCGGAGATTGCAGTGAGCCAAGATTGCGCCATTGTATTCCAGCCTGGGCAACAAGAGCAAAACTCCACCTCAAAAAGGAAAAAGAAAGAAAAACCCAATTCTTTGTTAAAACATAGAATGGTCTTTGGCTGTATCTCAAATTGGCTTAATTAGGTAAGTTATCCCTCAAATATACTAATTGCCATGTTCCCAAATACATCTTCCAATTCAGCCAATATTTTTTCTAGTTAATTTTTATTTAAGTATTACACACATACAGAAAAGTACACAAAGTACAAAAGTACTAAGTGTACAGCTAAATAAATTTTCACAAAGTGAACAGACACATGTAACCAGCAGTCAGATTAAAAAAAAAAATACTACCAGAACCTGAGAAGCCCCTATCATAAAGCCACCCACTCCTTTAAGTATAAACTCTATCCTGAATTCTAATACCATAGGTAAGTTTTGCTTGTTTTTGAACTTTATCTAAGTGAAATTATATAGTTTGTACTCTTTGTGACTGGCTCCTTTAATTCAATAGTAAATTTGGAAGGTTCATCCATATTGTTGCATATAATTATATGTTTGTTCATTCTTATTGCAGTAAAATATTCAACTGTATAAATAAAGCACATTTTGAATTCATAATTAGAATTAAGAATTCAATTTATACAATAATTAGATTATAATTACCACTAAAATTAGGATTACCATTTTACCATTGGTGGAATTGAGATAGTTGGAGTTTTTAGCCACATGAACGCTTCTACTATGTACATACTTATTAACAACAATGGTGTGCTGGAGCTATCTCATATTGGTTCATGAGAATTTGCTGTCATATTTTCAGGAATTTTTGTGAGTCAGTTGTTAAAATAACCTACTACTAAAAAACATTTTTTTCCCTTTAAACATCATGTGTGTGCCCAGGAAGGGAAGCGATGTGCACTAAAACAGATATCTTGTTAGATAGACGGAAAGCAATTAGAAAGTGCTCAGATGTACTGCACTTAGCACTGTGGTGTTTGGTGCCATAGAAATGCAAATTAACTAAAGCACCAATAAACATAATGTTGATGATGATGAACACTGTTTAAAAATTATTTGAAGATAAGTAGTCAGAGCTTTATCTATAAGTAGACAAATATGCATTAAGTATATATCTATGCAAGCATACATAGAGCCATTTCTTCAGTTTATGAAATATATTTATACTAATAAAGTTGAATTTAAACTGATTTTCCACAAGCAAATCGTGTTTTCCAAAGCATCCCACTTACATAATTGGAACTGTTTTTCATGGAAGATAATGAAGATGAGAAGTAAATACTGGTCTAGAGTTTGTTTAACAAGCTTTTATTCAACAACAATTTTTCAACAATCACTATGTGCCCTGCCCTATATGTAAGCTGAAGATTCAATGCTAAATCAGATGCTCTCTGGTTTTAAGGGTTTTATCCTTTAGTTGGAAACACAGAGAAGTAAACAAAATATGTGAACAAAATGTGATATGTGTTAAGTATTCATCTGACAAAGGGCTAATATCCAGAATCTACAAGGAACTTAAACAAATTTACAAGAAAAAAACAAACAATTCCATCAAAGAGTCAGCAAAGGATATGAACAGACACTTATCAAAAGAAGACATTTATGCGGACAACAAACATATGACAAAAAGCTCATCATCACTGGTCATTAAAGAAATGCAAATCAAAACCACAATGAGATACCATTTCATGCCAGTTAGAATGGCAATCATTAAAAAGTCAGGAAACAACAGATACTGGAGAGGATGTAGAGAAATAGGAACACTTTTAAACTGTTGGTGGAAATGTAAATTAATTCAACCATTGTGGAAGACAGTGTGGCGATTCCTCAAGGATCTAGAACCAGGAATACCATTTTACCCAGCTATCCCATGACTGGGTATATACCTAAAGGATTATAAATCATTCTACTAGAAAGATACATGCACACCTATGTTTATTGCAGCACTATTCACAATAGCAAAGACTTGGAACCAACCCAAATGCCCATCAGTGATAGACTGAATAAAGAAAATGTAGCACATATACACCATGGAGTACTATGCAGCCATAAAAAAGGATGAGTTCATGTCCTTTGCAGGGACATGAATGAAGCTGGAAACCATCATTCTCAGCAAACTAACACAGGAACAGAAAACCAAACACCGCATGTTCTCACTCATAAGTGGCAGTTGAACAATAAGAACACATGGACACAAGGAGGGGAATATCACACACTGGGTCCCGTTAGGGGGTGGGGGGCTAGGGGAGGGATAGCATTAGGAGAAATACCTAATGCAGATGACAGGTTGATGGGTGCAGCAAACCACCATGGCATGTGTATACCTATGTAACAAACCTGCATGTTCCGCACATGTATCCCAGAGCTTAAAGTATAATAATAATAAAAAAAGAAACATGCATGGCATAAAAAACAAACAAAAAAATATAAAAATTAGCCAGGAGTGGTGGCTTGCACCTGTAGTCCCAGCTCCTCAGGAGGCTGATGCAGGAGAATCACTTGAACCTGGCAGGCGGAGGTTGCAGTGAGCCGAGATCACGCCACTGCATTACAGCCTGGGTACAGAGCAAGACTCTGTCTCAAACAAACAAAAAAAAGGAAGATAGAGGGCAAACTGGAGAGAAAATATGATCCCCTTAACAACAGCCATAAAACTATAAAATTCCTAGGAAGTAACCTAACAAAGAATATGTAGAGTTTTATGAGGAACTATTTTAAACTCCTTTGAGGACCTAAATAAAACTTAATAATGAAGATTTAACCATGTACATGGTTGAAAAACATAAGATTGTAAAAATACTTTCCCCCATACACAGATCACACAAATCACCTATAAATTCTTCTTTATTTCAATGGACTATAAAAGAGAATGATAAAGATATTCTCAAATTTCGACGAAGAAAATACATGAAGGATAACTGAGACGATTTTGAAAAAGAAGACTAAAAACATTACTAACACAGGTAGTTGCTTACACAACAACCATTTCCCATTCTTTTTTATTAGCAGAGGTCTTATTTTGTTCCCCTCCTTCCATGCAAGTGAAGGAATGACCCTATTTCTAGGTCCTCCCCAGTGTACATCCTAAGTGGTCTTAGGTAATCATTGTGGGCCTAATCTCTTTGCCTGTAGTTGGGTTAGATATGGGCATGTGTGTGATCTGGCCAATGATGTATGAAGGGAAGCCTACTGGAGGCCCTCTGCAAAGGTTTCTTCACTCTTAAGAGACAAGTAAAGACAGCCCCTCTTTTAATATTGTGCTTTGGCCTGTCAGAATATGATCCCTGCTATCCTGCAGCCACTTTGTAACCAGGAGGAGAAAGCCAACATGTCAATGACAGCCATACTCAGGGGGAAAGAGTGGAATATTTGATGATATTGTTGCACCTTTGAATTAACCTGCTCTGGACTTCTTGTTCATAGCATAATAAATGGTCCTTCCTTACTGTATAAAAAAACTGGAGTGACAACCATAAAAAGGAACAAAATAATGGCATTTGCAGCAACCTGGATGGAACTGGAGACCATTATTCTAAGTGAAGTGACTCAGGAATGGAAAACCAAACAACGTATGTTCTCACTCATAAGTGGGAGCTAAGCTAGGAGGACGCAAAGGCATAAGAATGATACAATGGACTTTGGGGACTTGGGGCTTGGGGGAAAGGGTGGGAGGCGGGTGAGGGATAAAAGACTACACATTGGGTACGATGTACACTGCTTGAGTATTGGGTGCACCAAAATATAAAAAATTCCACTACAAAACGCAATCATGTAACCAAACACCACCTGTTCCCCAAAAACCTATTAAAACGATATTTTTAGTGGAAAATTTAAAAAAAGATAACAGTACTACAGGAAAACACAGAGGGGACCTAACCCAGTCAACTGGAGCAGGAAAAGCTTCCTTGATGAGATGGTATCTAAGCATATGAAGGGAATTTTGGGCAAACAGAGTTGAAGGTAGATTTTGGGGGCCAATAATGATGGTAAATGTAGTGATGGTGCTGGTGTTGGTAGAGGTAACAGCATGTACAAAGCATAGAAGAAGCATAACATGCTTATGGGCATGCACATTTTAAGTATTGCTGAAGGGTTTAATGTAGGGGAATAGAGAGATATTGATGGTGATGTATGAGGTTGGAGAGGTGGGCAGGGGCCAAAATATGAATTAATGATAACCACCATTGTTCAAGGTAAACGGCAGTGTACTAAGAAACTCAATGCATATGTTCTACTGTTAATTATGTCCAAAGAGAATCTTCATAATGCACACAAAGTACCAGTTATCTAAAAATTTCACCAAATATAATATTTCACATCTCATAAGAAATAAAAGTTCATTTTATTCTTATGTAAAACTCCATTCAAAGACAACAGAATCTGAGTTCAAAATGATTTAGAATTTTTTTATGATGCCGTTATTTTGTGTTTTTTTACAAGTCTATTAGCTTTAATACGGCAGAAAAAGAAAAGAATGAAAGGGAAAATGTTGGCAAATTCAAACAGGAAAATCAAGGGCTATTCCATTAAATCTTCATTTGAATAGAATTCCATTTGAATAATAATTCTTTAAATTGATACTTCTGTTAGTAATAAAAAGTGAATAGACTTTGAGTATTTTTATCATGCTTGAACATGGTATACTAAAAGTATGTCTAGAAGTAGTAACAAAGAGTTAAACTGAATATTTAACAAATAGTTAAATTTAAACCGATTAAAATCTTTGTTCTCACAATAAGAAGGCAAGATGAAAACTCATTTTGTTCTTTCTCAAAACTACAGAATATTACACATTATTCTAATTGAAATTTTCTCTTTATTAATACTTCTAAGTGGGTATATCCTCTCTTAAGAAAAAATTTTGCCCATTCAAAATTGGTGATTACTAGAATACAGAGTGAGAGATTATGGAAGTCTATGCAGAACTTGAAGAGTTTTATGAAAAGGTTTATGAAATTCATTTTGTTCTCTGCCTTTGGATTCTTATAATCCAAAGTAAAGGGAGGAGCAATGCTCAGTAAGGGATAAGGATGTCTCAAGAAAAAGTCTGTTATACCATCAACCAGTAAATTTTATTCTCAGAAAGTGTCTGAATACAGTTATCAATAGCAATTTTTCAGCGGTAAAAATTAATTTGCAAATAATAATTAATGTTATTTGGAAGTAAACAAAAAAGTATAATTGTTGAGTATGGCCACTGCCAAATGGTAATTAATATATGATTACTATATATTGCATACTATAAAAGAAAGATGAATACTTTGGATCCTAATTATATTCTTTCTTTTAAACCTTTTTATGACCATAATTCTACCTATGCCTTCTGTTTTCAGAAGCTGCAAAAGAGAAATGTCACTTTGGGAGACAAAAATTTTAATATACCCAGTATTGACCATGTTTTAATCAAAATTATACAGAACAAGTGATCACTGGTTGTTGTGTTTGTTTTTAATCCCGAAATGTCAATTCATTAATAGTTTTAACCACTCAACTGATACATTTTTTAAATTATAAAGGTTTTTTTTTTTTTTTTTTGAGACGGAGTCTCGCTCTGTCACCCAGGCTGGAGTGCAGTGGCGCGATCTTGGCTCACTGCAAGCTCCGCCTCCCGGGTTAATTTTTTGTATTTTTAGTAGAGGCAGGGTTTCACTGTGTCAGCCAGGATGGTCTCGATCTCCTGACCTCATGATCCGCCCGCCCCTGCCTCCCAAAGTGCTGGGATTACAGGCGTGAGCCACCGCGCCCGGCCAATTATAAAGGTTTAATATAAGCAAATATAACATAAAAGGTTCTCAGGGATTAAAAAACAAAGGGAATATCCAATTGCGTGTATGTGTGTCTGTGTCTGTGTGGGTGGGGGGAGGAGGAGGGTTAGAGAGAAAGAGAGAGAGAGTGCAGGCTGGCCGCGGTGGTTCACACCTGTAATCCCAGCACTTTGGGAGGCCAAGGTGGGTGGATCATGAGGTTAAGACATTGAGACCATTCTGGCCAACATGGTGAAACCCCATCTCTATTAAAAAAAAAAAATACAAAAAAAAATTAGCTGGGCGTGGTGGCATGCACCTGTAGTCCCAGCTATTCGGGAGGCTGAGGCAGGAGAATCGCCTGAACCCAGGAGGCAGAGGTTGCAGTGAGCCGAGATTGCGCCACTGCACTCCAGCCTGGTGACAGAGGGAGACTCCATCTCAAAAAAAAAAAGAGAGTGTGTCATCCCTCAATATCCATGGGGTATACATATAATTGTGTGTGTGTTTGTGTGTATGCAGTTATCCCTCAATATCCATGGGGAATTGTTTCCATGACCCTCTACAGATATCAAAACCAATGGATGCTCAAGTGCCTTATATAAAATGGTGTAGTATTTGCTCATAGCCTACATACATCCTTCTGTATACTTTAAATCATCTCTACCTTACTTATAATACCCAAAACAATGTAAACAGTTGTTATACTATATTGTTTAGGGAATAATGACAAGGAAAAAAGTCTGTATATATTTAGTACAGAAGAAACCTTTCATTTAAAAAAATTTTTTTTTGAGTATTTTGAACCTATGGTTGGAAGAATCCATAGTTGTGGCACCCACAGATGCAAAACCCATGGAAACAGAGGCCCAAATGTAGTCTCTTTTCAAAAGTAATCTTAAATTCCACTGCTCCGTGATATTTATACAGATTTGAGCATCACAAAAAATACAACAGAATAACACCATTCATGCCAATTTTTCTCTCACCTAAGAAAATTGTTTCTGAAATGTGTTACAACAAAATGCTTAAGCAAATAATTTACTCAAAGAGTAAAAATTAAATACCTAATAGGCAAATTCAAATAAGCAAACTGCCTCTCTGGTTAAATGAACTAATTCCTTTAATTTAATCACAAAAAAAAGTTATGCCAGTTTTTCATTTCAAGATTAAATTTTCTGATTTTATTACACCAAAATAATAAACAGAATAGCACTGAGAAAAATTATTGGGTCACTATTTTAATTGTTTATATAGTATTGACTATCTCAAAATACATTTTCTTTTTAAAACCGACTCATAGCTTTAAACTTAATATATTGTTTAGTGCTTCCTACACAACCTTATTTTTTTGTCCAAAGTGAACACTGCAAATTGCCTTGGATAAGCAAGCATGAAAAAGCAACAGCATTTATTAATTTTGTATAAGTTATCCTCCACCCAAGAGATTCCATGGAGGGAAAGAAGAGCAAGTCTGAATTTCACCGTACAGTGCCACAGGCAGAAAGTGAGAGAAACTAAACAAATGCATCCTGGAGAGAGAGAGCATGCCTGCAAGCAGCAAATGACCTACTACATACCTTGCTATACAAGCTTTGATGTTATAATTTGTTAATTTCCAGGAAAAAAGGCAATTACCAATACCTTAAGTTTGCTCTGACAGAAGTATTTGACTTCTTTAAGTTTTGATCACAAACAACACACACAGTTCAAAAAAGCAATACTTTTTAAGCCATTACAATACCAAGTAATTGTGCCTGAAAAGTTTAATGAAAAGACAATTTCTTACTGTCAGAAAATGCAAACTAAGAAGTACATTAAACTTTCCTTAAGAAAGTTTAAAAATATTCTTGGCATCTGCTTCTCTGGATAAATGTTCTCTTAAATATTTTCAAGACCAATTCATTGTAAGAAAAGATAATTTTATTCAAATATGCAGCTCATGGTATGAATAAGCAAGTATTTATTCCTCAATAGAATTGGCAAGTCTTTCAAATAATTTTTTTTTAAATCAAACCTACAAAGTTGCCAATTGGGAATTTTAACATATACACATATTTCCATGCATGTAGGCATGTACATCTGTGTATATGTGTGTAATCATGAATGTTTCCAAATAAGTATTTTAATAAGTAAGAAATAAATTGATCCTTATTATTGTTATTTAACACCCTATGTTCACACTGCACCATAATGGAAATACATAAATGCATAAAGATATAATTTCATATCTTAAGTTGTGTCCTTTATTTCTAAACTAAGTTTTCAATCTACATATATAACCATGAAGATAAGAATTTAAAAGGATTATTTTAAAATTGCTAAGCCTGAGTACCACTATGAAATATGGGAAAACTGAAACTTATTACAAAAGGAATGGTTTTCATTATCAAAAGGAAAAGCAAAGCTGTATTGCCTACTTAACAGTATTTTCCCAAATTTTTAAAATAAGTTTCTTCTGGAGAAATATTCATATCATTTATCATTACCACTGTATTACTGCAGAAATAAAAAGCCAAATGAGACCTTCCTACAAATATTAATTTTCTTCAGTGCTATTAATATTTTATTCTGTAGTTTTCATTTATAAAATAATAAATTGTGAAATAACTTATTTTCATTCAGAATTTAAGTTATAGCACATACATTCATCGTAAGTTCTACTCTAGGTAACAAAATGTAATAGTCTGCTATGTTATACCATTTCTGCATGGCAGTCCTAACCTAATATGGATTAAACCTTATGATCTTATAAAGTCAAATGTGAATGGCCTTGAAACTGTATCCGTTTTTTTTTTAAACTCAGAGTGTATACCTAACACACTATCTGTGCTCTTCATTATTAACTAGTCTTCTTCCAAAAGGTTCAATCTTTCTGAGGCATACTCATTCCTGAATATCCATTTCATAAACATGTTACCAGCTTTCCAATATAAATTATACACACAAAGCAACAAAACACATTTTAAGATTGTTGACATCTGAATGCATACTTATTAGTACAAGGTTACAAGTTATATTTACATTTGGAGTAAACTGGTAATAGCGTATTCATTTTAAAATATGAAAGTACATTATTCTAAATAGGCAAAGTATACCAATTGTATTCCACCTAATTCTTACACTTCACTACAAATTTTAGTCATGATTTGTTTTCTGTCTAGAAAAACAAAAGAGTATACATTCTGGATAAAAAGTTAAAACACTGTTATGTTACTATCCAGGAACCATTGTTGAAATTCTGTCTTAATTTAAGGATGTCACATTGTAAATAAATAATTAGTAGATATGTCTTTTTCATATTAAATCTTTAACTTATAATTAGGTATTAGTTAGAATTTCTAATATGTATTGAAATAGGCAATTTATAGTGAAATTAATATTTTTTAAATTCCTTCTATTTACATCAAACAGTTGAATAAAATCAAACAATATCAGAATATCAGAAAAAAATAGTATCAGAAGCATACTGAGCAATTCCTATGGACGCTATTATTTACTCTTAAGTTCACATGTATGACATTATTTTCTTTAAAATATCTTATTTTACTGATTTTGTAAATATAATACATTTAATCTAAGGCTTGTTAATTTAAGCCTACAGTGTAAACTATATTTTCATAAACAAATTACCTACTTTATAGCTTAGTGTCTCAGTTATTTCAAGTTTAGACTATTTCCTACTACCAAAAGCTAACATTCTTTCTACTTCAGTTCTTCTCAAATTAAAGAAACTCAGGGGATAAGCTGATAATTAATGGAAATAAAAGAGTTTTTAAAATAATGTTTAATATAAAAATATAAAGGCTAAAAACACCAGAAACCACAGGTATAGTGAGAAATGCAATCCTGACCTATCTTTAATGTTTTGAATTTAAACCTAGGCTACTCAAGAATTGTCAACTAATTATTCCAGTTATTGATGACACTTTTCTCTAGGGAAGTTATACTAAAAGTTTAACCCTGGAGCAAGTCACGGCTTCCCCGTTCCTTGAAAGTGTCCAAAGCATTGATTATAACTGCAGGAGGTGTTACCTTCTACCCAGAAAATCTCACCCTTCACAATGTTACACACTCTCTCACTCCCAAAACAGCTCTGATGCAGCAATTCAGATTGCTTCAGCTGATTAAAGGAAGGACCACAGAAAAGGGATCGACATTTAAAGCAAAATAAAAGGAAGAAAAAAAAAATCCAGATCGTGGATATAGTAGCACAAAGCTCAAGAGAAAAGCAGATTTGAAAAAGACATCAGAGTGACTCAAAAAAGAACAACATGACAGAAATTAAACAAGATTTTTATGTTCGCCTTCTATGCATTTAAACTCATCTCAACCTCCACTGAAATTCTGATCATACACAAACCCCAAGCCTTTTGACATACTTTCAAAAACCTACACCCTTTCTTTCTCTTTCTAAGTCTCCAGAGTCACTTCTTAGGTAGCCAAGAAAATACAGAATTCAAATATGCATGTCATTGAAAAATACAAAGGTCAAATTATAATTTTAACCAATATTTTTCATGTAAAAATAATATCTAATTGTTTTAAAATTCAGTGTCTTTCCTCTTTTTAGTGAAAACAGCTAGGTTAGCTGTGACAATTATTTGAAACCAGGTGCAGACACAGGTAGAGGAATAGATAGATATTAGGCATAAGAGACCTTGTAATATTTTTCTTAGGATGATGTCAGAATATCAAAGTGCTCTATACTCTCACAGATTACTCTTCACTTGACCATAGAAAGAACTTAAGCATATCCTTTATTAGTTAATTAGTTCAGTACTAGAGACAATCTAGATGCAAACAGCTATTACAGAATGGCTTATCATATCTCTCTCAAAAACAGTGACCAAAATTCCAGAAGGTAATTGGATTTTCAAAACTGAACATAGTTTCTCCCCGCTCTACCCCATTCAGTCATGACAGGGCCAGAAGGTAATGATATATCTGCCATGATGCAACAAGCAGACCTGTCTTCTGTCAAGAGTTGAAATCATAAAGGAATAAGCTGTCGTTAACAACCTCTCTCCAAACACTAGAGCTGTCATCTCATTGTTTTCTTTGCTGGCATGGGGCTGGGGTGGCCTCGTATACCTTGTCAATTCAGTAATGTGCTAAGCTTTTAACCTTTTCTGGAATTTTTGGCTTCAACAATCTTTTATGAAGTCTCTAATGTAAAAACATATTTTCATTAATTTATATTTTCTCTCAAAGTTTACTTTTAAAATTTAGAATTAGTGATCTTGGTTTCAACTTATAATTTAGAAGTCTTACATTTCAAATAAGAAAAAAATTTGTGTTTATTAAAAAAACTTTTTTTGAAATATAAATTTCAGTGGCTTAAATTCAACCACTCTTTAAGGGAAAAAAAAACCCAATAATCATTCAAAGGAGCTGCTTGCAGTTTTATACTCAAACATTTATTACATGTTAAGTTCACTTAGAAATAGTTAAGTCAATAACTACAAGATCACAATAATCATATTTCATGACTATTTAAAATATATTAATTATAAAAGTAATATCTTTTTAAATATTAAAGTAAAACCTACTCAAAGAAAAAATAAAACAAAAATAAAGAGAAAAACTGAAAATGAAATCTAAAAGAAGAAACTTCGTGGTTTCTTGCATAAACTTCCAGGAACATTAATGTGTATCCATGTATGTATGTAGCTGTAGATGTGTACATGTGTAAGTGTACTTTTTAAACAAATTAGCTCATTTTTCTGTTTTTATCTGGTAACTCTTAGACATCATTCCAGATTTATGAACACACATATATACACATACAACTTGTTATTTTTAATAACTACATAGTCTTCCATGATATGAATATGCCATCATAAAATAAAATGTTCCCTACTGGTGGATGTTTAGTTGGTTAGAATGTTTTGTGTTATTATAAACTGCTGTTATGAGCATCCCTATGTATACTTCATGCACTGCTCTGGTGTAAATTCTTACGAATGAAATTTAAGGTCAAAGATTAGTGTACATGTTAAATTTTGGAAGATATTACTAACCTGCCATCTAAAATGATTACTCCAATTTACATTTTCACTAATATTTAAATATGATATTATCAATTTATTAACAAGTAATTTATAATTTGCCAATCTGATATGTTGAAAAATGGTAGCTTGTTTTAATAAGTATCTCTTTAATTTTCACAAATACTTTCAATGACTATCAAAAAAAGCATCAAAGTCTGTAAGTCATTTGAACAAAGGTATATTTAAAAGTGCCAAGTAATTTTCATATTTTTTCTCTGAGCCCTTAAACAAGAATCTTTTGCCATACTCCACACTCTGTTTAGACTACATAAATATTAATTTTTCATAAGCAGCTAGATGGCATTACTCTTCTTAAAAATAAGCATGTCCTATATTAATATAGTACTTTTATTTTCGTATTATTATCTACTAGGCATAGGTATCCATTATAACCCTGTTAAAATCTTCCTGTCACCAAGTTTGTCAAATACTTATGCTGAAATAGAAAGATCTTGCAGTATTTAGTTTGAAGACTGGAGTTGAGGGCTGTAGTTAAGAACGTGTTAACTAAAAGTTTATTACTGAAATTACTGAAAAATTTCACACCATATTCTAGATAACCATCTATAATGGCTCCATGCTGTGAAAAAAGATCTTAATCCTGTATTCAATCAGCTTTTCAAATTTATTCATCAAAAAACGGGGAAAAATCAAAATGAAATGAAAAGAATCAAAACATTAATGGCCAGAATAGAAAATTAAGCCATAGCTTACGAAAAGAGACATGATTTAGAAACTAAAAAACTCTAACTCAACTTTCAAAGCATTCAGTTCATATTGCAGTCAAGTAACAGTTTAGGTAGTCTTTAGTTTCATTATAATTTAAATAATTTCTAGTAGAAAATCCTAAAATTTTCTAGTGTGATGAATATTGCTACAAAAGGAGGTCATCTTTGAGGTTTACAAAGAATTTGGTTATATATAAATTTACTTTAACATTATTTGTTTTAAAAAGATACAAGTTGTAAAGTGAACTACCTGTCACCGGAACGGCCAGGTTAAAAAAATATTTAATTAAAATGCTACATTGAATTATTTAATTATCTCTATTCTTGCCACAAATGTCACTAAAATCTCATTGAAGAAAAAGAAAAGCCAGACATGGTGGCTCACACCTGTAATTCCAGCACTTTGGAAGGCTGACGCAGAAGGATTGCTTGAGCTCAGGAGTTTGAGACCAGCCTCGCCAACATAGTAGGACCCCATCTCGCCAAAAAAATAAATAAATAAAAGTGTGCCTATACTCTCAACTACCCAGAAGGATGAGGTGGGAGGATCACTTGAGCCCAGGAGGTCAAGGCTGCAGTGAGTCACGATCATGCCACTCAACTCCAGCCTGGGTGACACTCTGCCTCATGAAAAGAAAAGAGGAGAGGAGAGGGCAGGAGAGGGGAGGGGAGGGGAGGGGTGAGGAGATAGGGAGGAGGGAGAAAAGGAGGGAAAGAATGGGAAGAAGAGAAGAATGAAAGAACAAAAGAACAAAAGACAGAAAGAGATGAAAAAGAAGAAAGAGGGGTGGTATTCAAACATCAGGACAAAATAAATGGTAGAAGAGAAAATGGAGGATACAGATGTCACCTCTGTATATATTTGTAGAAGACTAAGTTAATGGAGGAGTAGGTACTGGCTTGACATTACAGCAAAAATTCAAACTTAAGTGCCTCCAGAAGGATAAAATGACTTAAAAGTAAGCCAACTCACCCATAGAAGTCCAGAAATACTCAGAAATTGGGGCACCAGTTATCTTGGAAAACCTTGGAATGTAAGGGTAGGCCATAACACTAAAAACAGGGGCTTTAGTTGTAAGTTCAAGTAAGGAGCAGTTACCCCACTCTCTAAAAAACAGACACCAGAAAACCAAAAACCAGGTCATAATCTGACATGTGTGGCCAACACTGTAAGAGACAAGAGATTTTTCCTTTGCAGAAATGTAATCTATAGGCCACGTGTGGCGGCTCACGCCTATAATCCCAAGACTTTGAGAGGCTGAGGTGGGAGGATCACCTGAGGTCAGGAGTTCGAGATCAGCCTGGCCACACAAAAATTAGCCAGGTGTGGTGGCAGGTGCCTGTAATCCCAGCTACTTGGGAGTCTGAGGCAGGAAGAATTGCTTGAACCTGGGAGGTGGAGGTTGCAGTGAGCTGAGATTGCGCCACTGCACTGCAGCCTGGGCGACAGAGCAAGATTCCATCTCAAAAAAAAAAAAAAAAAGAAATGTAATCTATGGAAGTACTAGACTATGGGACATTAAAGCGTAGAAGAGAGACACAAAGCTCAAATCAGGCGTACTAATCAGAAATCTGCATAATGATTTTAAAAAACAGATCCATTTCAAAATATGATTGAAAAACTTTAAAAATTCTATGGAATGGTTAAAAGAAAAAGTAGGCAATCTCCCAGAAATGACTGGAAATATAGAATAAAAATAAGAAAGAATGGATAAGATACTCATTCCAGTAACTCAAAACCACATAAGAGCTAAATAGAGAAGTGTAAAATTATCAACAAACAATACAAAAAAAGTTTCTCAGAACTAAAGATCATGAGTGAATATAAATGGAAAGACATCACCAAGTGCCAAACAATGAAACAAATAACAATGAAACAAAATACCAAGACTCAGGAAATTTCTTAAAAGCAGTGAGATTCACTTCTTAACACCAGGGAGAAGGAGAAGCTTACATAGAGTGGAACAAAAGGATTCAAGGCCAAAATGGTTTCAAGACTTTCAAATTAAAACACTGGAAACTAGAAGACAATGAAACAAATCCTTCAAATCTCAATAAAAAGTATTTTCTACCTGGAATTCTATGTCTTTTGAATCTTTAAAATAAAGTGAACAAGTAGACTGAAGGCATTTTTCAGAAATGCAAGGGTTCAAAAATTTATCTTCTACTTGATGGGTCCAACAAAATGAGGGCATATATCAAGAAAACACAGATCATTAGATACAGGAAACAGGAGCTTCCTGTATCTAACAATACAGGAAGACAAGACATTGATATTGAAGACAAGAGAGAAACTAAAGTGAAACCCAGGATAATACACAGGTAAGCAGGCTTAGAAAGTGACCAGTCAAGACTGAAACAGAGTCCACAGGGTTCCAAAAGAGAGTACTCCAGAGGAAGAACATGAAACTATGAGATTATCTGATAAGTTAAATCATGTCAAAAATTAAGAGACGAATGAAGATCTGAATTAAAAATACATAAAAAATTAGAAACTAGAAAATTATTAATTCCATGAAAACAAAGATATTGTATCAAAAATGAAAAGCAATCATATTATCTACCTGGCTCAGCCATTAGCAATATTATGGTTGTAGTAGTACTGTAAAGCTTGATTCCTGATTCTACCATAACAGAAAGTGAATGATAAATCAAAAGACAGAACTATAATTTTAAAATATGGATACAATGAGTATAAATAAAACCAAAATGTATTGAAAATGATTACATCTAAGGAACAGGACTAACAGGTAGCGATGGATTAGGAAAAGATAACACTTATTTTGATACTATGTCTTGGTTTTACTTGATTTTTAAAATTACATGTATGAATCACAGTTTTATTCTAATATATTTAAATGTACATTTATTTTCATTTATCTTGCCTTAGATATGCCACACTTCTTCAACAACATGATTTATGCTTTTACTCTCAAAAACATTCAGCCACTAATACATGCTTTTCTCCTATTTTTTTCTGTTGCTTCTTTGAAACATCTGATAGAAGAGTATTATATGTTATTCTATTTTCCATGACTTTTTAATGTCATATTTTTTCTCATTTCCTCTGTGCTATATTCTGCATACTGTCTTCCTTAACTCTAGCTTTCAATTTACTAATTCTCTTTTGATAGTTTAATGATCTGACTTTTCTTGTGATGAATCATTTCTTCATATAATCTGTAGTTTCTGACTGAATTCATCTTCAGTAGGGATTTATTCTAGGTTGTAAAGTGTTCCTATATGGCAGTATTACGCTTGCTTCTGCCAGGTGCCCCAAAGGTTTCATTGGTCCAGAATTCATTTTTATATTAATCACAGTGTTTACGATTTTCACATTAAGTGTGTCACCTAAATTCAAACTGCAAATCCAAATCCACTTCTGGGTTAGGGTCTGGGTCTCCTATTTCCCAAGATAAGTTGTTTATTTACCCTACCTGGTACCTTTAGCAAAGAAACCTCCTTTTAATAATTATCTTTTATTTTTTATTTTAGAGATGAGGTCTCACTCTGTCACCCAGGTGAGGTGCAGTCACACAATCTTGGCTCACTGTATCTTCTTTTTATTATTATTATTATTATTATACTTTAAGTTTTAGGGTACATGTGCACAATGTGCAGGTTAGTTACGTATGTATACATGTGCCATGCTGGTGTGCTGCACCCATTAACTCGTCATTTAGCATTAGGTATATCTCCTAATGCTATCCCTCCCCCCTCCCCCCACCCCACAACAGTCCCCAGAGTGCGATGTTCCCCTTCCTGTGTCCATGTGTTCTCATTGTTCAATTCCCACCTATGAGTGAGAATATGCAGTGTTTGGTTTTTTGTTCTTGCGATAGTTTACTGAGAATGATGATTTCCAATTTCATCCACGTCCCTACAAAGGACATGAACTCATCATTTTTTATGGCTGCATAGTATTCCATGGTGTATATGTGCCACATTTTCTTAATCCAGTCTATCATTGTCGGACATTTGGGTTCCAAGTCTTTGCTATTGTGAATAGTGCCGCAATAAACATATGTGTGCATGTGTCCTTATAGCAGCATGATTTACAGTCCTTTGGGTATATACCCAGTAATGGGATGGCTGGGTCAAATGGTATTTCTAGTTCTAGATCCCTGAGGAATCGCCACACTGACTTCCACAAGGGTTGAACTAGTTTACAGTCCCAACAACAGTGTAAAAGTGTTCCTATTTCTCCACATCCTCTCCAGCACCTGTTGTTTCCTGACTTTTTAATGATTGCCATTCTAACTGGTTTGAGATGGTATCTCATTGTGGTTTTGATTTGCATTTCTCTGATGGCCAGTGATGATGAGCATTTTTTCATGTGTTTTTTGGCTGCATAAATGTCTTCTTTTGAGAAGTATCTGTTCATGTCCTTCACCCACTTTTTGATGGGGTTGTTTTTTTCTTGTAAATTTGTTTGAGTTCACTGTAGATTCTGGATATTAGCCCTTTGTCAGATGAGTAGGTTGTGAAAATTTTCTCCCATTTTGTAGGCTGCCTGTTCACTCTGATGGTAGTTTCTTTTGCTGTGCAGAAGCTCTTTAGTTTAATTAGATCCCATTTGTCAATTTTGGCTTTTGTTGCCATTGCTTTTGGTGTTTTAGACATGAAGTCCTTGCCCATGCCTATGTCCTGAATGGTAATGCCTAGGTTTTCTTCTAGGGTTTTTATGGTTTTAGGTCTAACGTTTAAGTCTTTAATCCATCTTGAATTAATTTTTGTATAAGGTGTAAGGAACGGGTCCAGTTTCAGCTTTCTACATACGGCTAGCCAGTTTTCCCAGCACCATTTATTAAATAGGGAATCCTTTCTCCAGCTCACTGCATCTTCAAACTCTTGTGCTAAAGTGATCTTCCCACCTAAGCCTCTTAAGTAGCTGGCATTACAGGCACTAGCCACAAAGCCTGGCTGGAAACCTTTCACCTCTAAGCAGTGAACTGATTCTTCCCTCTACTCATCCTTTTATTGCAAAGGTGGTAACTTCCAGGGTCTTACCTATATCCAGGACTCTTAGTTTTAGCTCCCACCTCTCAGTCCCAAAGATATAGATCATGTGTATGTGATACAGATCATGTGTGGCCTTGGGTTCATATCTTACTAGCTAACCCCTGAAGCTGCAACACCTTCCAGGGATTTACCACTGTGTTGTAAGTTATCTCTTACACTCAGGCATTTAGGAAATCCTTTTCTTTTTCTTTTAATTTTTGTACGTACCTAGGTGTATATATTTACTGGGTACGTGAGATATTTTGATGCAGGCATACAATAAGTAATAATTACATCAGGCGTGAGCCACTTCTCCCGGCCCACACCCGATGTAATTATTACTTATTGTATGCCTGTAATCCCAGCACTTTGGGAGGCCGAGACGGGCAGATGACAAGGTCAAGAGATCAAGACCATCCTGGCCAACACGGTGAAACCCCATCTCTACTAAAAATACAAAAATTAGCTGGGCGTGGTGGCACACGCCTGTAGTCCCAGCTACTTGGGAGGCTGAGGCAGGAGAATCGCTTGAACCAGGGAGGCGGAGGTTGCAGTGAGCCGAGATCACGCCACTGCACTCCCGCCTGGCAACAGAGCGAGAGTCTCTAATAATAAAAATAATAATAATAATAGTAATAATAATTACATCAAGGTAAACGGGGTGTCCATCACCTCAAGCATTTATCCTGTGTGTTACAATCCAATTATACTCTTTCAGTTCTTTTTAAATGTACAATCAATCATTGCTGACTGCAATCACTCTACTGTGCTCCAAATACAAGATCTTACTCAGTCTATCTCACTATAGCTTTGTACCCATTAACTATCCTCCCTCCCCTACAACCCATTATCATTCCCAGCCTCAGGTAACCATCATTCCACTCTCTATCTCCCTGAGTTAAACTTTCAATTATTAGCTGTTATTTATTTGAGAATTTATTCTCAATAAATTCTCAGTTTTATTTACTAAGAATAAATTTGAATTTGTTCTCAAATAAGTGAGAACATGTGAAGTCTGTCTTTCTGTGCCTGGATTATTTCATTTAACATAACGACCTCCAGTTCCATCTATGTTGTTGCAAATGACAGGATCTCACTCTTTTCTATGGCTGAATAGTATTCCATTGCATATATGTACCACATTTTCCTTATCCATTCATCTGCTGATGGACACTTAGGTTGTTTCCAAATCTTGGCTATTGTGAAGAGTGCTGCAATGAACATGGGAGTGCAGATATCTCTTTGATAAACTGATTTCCATCCTTTCGGGTATATACCTAGCAATGGGATTGCTAGATATCATACACAAATCTATTTTTTTCATTTTTTGAGGAACCTTCAAACTGTTCTCCATAGTCATTGTACTAATTTACCTTTCTACCAACAGTGTACAAAGGTTTCCTTTTCTCCACATCCTCACCAGCATTTGTTACTGCCTAACTTTTAAATAAAAGTCATTTTGGTGGGTGGATCACTTGAGGTCAGGAGTTTGAGACCAGCCTGGCCAAGATGGTGAAACCCCGTCTCTACAAAAAATTCAAAAATTAGCCAGGCGTGGTGGTGCATACCTGTAATCCCAACGACTCGGGAGGCTGAGGCATGAGAATCGCTTGAACATGGGAGGTGAAGGTTGTAGTGAGCTGAGCTTGTGCCACTGCACTGCAGCCTGGGTGACAGAGCAAGACTCGGTCTCAAAAATAAAACAAATAAAATAGGCCAGGCACAGTGGCTCACGCTGTAATCCCAGCACTTTGGGAGGCCAAGGTGGACAGATCACGAGGTCAGAAGTTCGAGACTAGCCTGGCCAACAGGGTCAAACCCTGTCTCTACTAAAAATACAAAAAATTAGCCCAGCATGGTGGTGCATGCCTGTAATCCCAGCTACTCGGGAGGCTGAGGCAGAAGAATCACTTGAACCCAGGAGGTGGAGGCTGCAGCGAGATTAAATCATTCCACAGCACTCCAGCCTGGGTGACAGAGTGAGACTCTGTCTCAAAAAAAAAAAAAAATAAAATAAAATAAAATAAAATAAGTCCTAATAGTATATAAATAAAATAAAAATAAAAGCCATTTTAACTGGAGTGAGATGACATGTCATTGTAGTTTTGATTTGCATTTCTCTGATGATCAACGACGTTGGGCACCTTATCATATGCCTGCTTGACACTTGCATGTCTCCTTTTGAGAAAAGTCTATTAGGATCTTTTACACATTTTTTAATTGGATTATTAGATTCTTTTTCCTATTGAGTTGTTTGAGCTCCTTATATATTCTGGTTATTAGTCCTTTGTCCAATGGATAGTTTGCAAATATTATTTCCCCTTCTGTGGGTTGTCTCTCCACTTGATTGTTTATTTTGTTGCACGGGAACTTTTTGATTTGAGGCGATCCCGTTTGTCCATTTCTGCTTTGGTTGCCTGCGCTTATGGGGTATTAATCAAGAAATCTTTTCCCAGTCCAATTTCCTGGAGAGTTTCTTTAATGTTTTCTTGTAGTAGTTTCATAGTTTGAGGTCTTAAATTTTTTAATCTATTTTGATTTGATTTTTGTATATGGTGAGAGATAGGGGTCTAGTTTCATTCTTCTGCATATGGATAGCCAGTTTTCCCAGCACAATTTATTGACAGACTTTCCTTTCTCCAATGTATATTCTTGGCATCTTTATCAAAAATAAGTTCACTGTAGATGTATGTATTTATTTCTGGGTTCTCTATTCTATTCCATTGGTTGATGTGTCTGTTTTTATGCCATCACCATGCTATTTTGGTTACTATAGCTCTATGATATAATGTGAAGTCAAGTGAAGTGGCTCACGCCTGATGTAATTATTGCTTATTGTATGCCTGCATCAAAATATCTCATGTACCCCATAAATATATACACGTAGGTACATACAAAAATTAAAAGAAAAAGAAAAAGATTTCCTAAATGCCTAAAAGATTTCCTAAATATAAGAGATAACTTACAACACAGTGGTAAATCCCTGGAAGGTGTTGCAACTTCAAGGGATAGCTGGTAAGATATGAACCCAAGGTCACACATGATCTGTATCACACACACATGATCTATACCTTTGGGACTAAGAGGTGGGAACTAAAACTAAGAGCCCTGGATATAGGTAAGACCCTGGAAGTTGCCACCTTTGTAATAAAAGGATGAGTAGAGGGAAGAAGAAACAGTATTGTTAAAATGTACATAGTATCCAAAGCAATCTACAAATTCAGTGCAATCCCTATCAAAATACCAATGACATTCTTCACAGAAATAGAAAAAAGAATCATGAAATTTATATGGAACCACAAAACACTGACAGTAGCCAGAGCTGTTATGAGCAAAAAGAACCAAACTGGAAGAATCACATTACCTGACTTCCTTTAGCATTTCTTGTAGAACACGTCTGGTGTGGATAAAATCACTCAGCTTTTGTTTGTCTGGGAAAGTTGTTATTTCTCTCTCCTTTGTGTTTGAAGAATATTTTCCCCAGATATAGTATTCTAGGGTAAAAGGATTTTTACCATCAACACTTTAAATATATCATGCCACTCTCCCCTGGCCTGCAAGGTTTCAACTGAAAAGTGTCCTGCCAGAAGTATTGGAGCTCCATCGTATATTATTTGTTTATTTTCTCTTGCTGCTTTTAGAATCATTTCTTTATCCTTGACCTTTGGGAATTTATTAAATGTCTTGATGTATTCTTCTTTGGGTTAAATCTGCTTGGAGTTCCATAACTTTCTTAGAAAGTTATAGATATTGATATCTCTCTCTAGGTCTCAGAAGTTCTCTGTTACTTTCCTTTTGAAAAAACTTTCTACCTCTACTTCTCTCTACCACTTCTTTATGGTCAATAACTCTTAGATTTGCCCTTTTGAGGCATTTTTCTAGAGTCTTCTAGGCATGTTTCATTCTTTATTATTTTGTCTCTTATAAATAGCTTGTCTTGAAGCTCACCAATTCTTTCTTCTTCTTGATCAATTCAGCTATTAAAAAACACACATTCTTCAGTCTTTCAACTGCATTTTCAACTCCAGAATTTCTGCTAGGTTCTTTTTTATTATTTCAATCTCTTTGTTAAATTTATCTGATAGAATTCTGAATTCCTTCTCTGTGTTAGCTTGAGTTTATTTAAGTGTCCTTAACATAGCTATCTTGAATTCTCTGTCTGAAAGGTCATATATCTCTGTTTCTCCAGGATTGGTCTCTGGTGCATTGTTTAGTTCACCTGGTGAGGTCATGTTTTCCTGGATAGTCTTGATGCTTGCGGATGTTTGTCGGTATCTGGGCATTGATGAGTTAAGTATTTATTGCAGTCTTTGCAATCTGGGCTTGTTGGCACACCTACTTCCTGGGAAGGCTTTCCAGGTATCCGAAGGCACTTGGGTATTGTGTTATATGTTTTTGGTCCCTGCAGCCATATCTGCATTAGGGGTCACCAGAAGCCTAGTATGCTATGGCTCTGGCATACTGGTAGAGGTACTGCCTTGTTGGTTTTGGATAAGATCTGGAAGAATTCTCTGGATTGCCAGGCAGAAACTCTTGTCTTACTTTCCCCCAGAGTCTCTTCCCTTTGTGCAGAGCTGCCTGAGCTGGGGGAAGGGTGACACAAGTACCCTGTGGCTGCCACCAGTGGCACTGCACTGGGTCAGACCTGAAGCCAGTATGGTACTACATCTCACCTACGGCCTGCAGTAACCACTGCCTAACTACCACCTGTGTCCACTCAAGGTACTACGGTTCTACAACCAGTCAGGCTTGTATCCCTCCCTTCAGAACAGTGAGTTCCCCTCAGCCCTGGGCAGCTCCAGAGACACTATCAGGAAGCCAGGGCATAGAGTCAGATACTCTAGGAACCTACCCAGTTTTCTATTTTGCTGTGGCTAAGCACCCGAGACACAAGACAAAGTCCTTCCCACTCTCCCCTCCCCTTTCCACAAGCAGCAGTTTCTTCCAATGGCCACAACTACCCCACACCTGTGGCAAGTACAGTCTGGCTACTGCCAATATTCACTCAGTATCCAAGGGCTCTTCAGTCCACTTGTAAATGCTACCAGTCCTAGGACTCTCCTGTAAGGGCAGTGGGCTCCCTTCTAGCCCACAGTAGGTCCAGAAATACTGCCCAAGAGTCAAGGCCTAGAATCAAGGACCCTAAGAAGGTTGTTGGGGCTCTATCCCACTATGGCCGAGCTGGTACCTAAGATGCAAGACAAAGTCCCCTTTATTTTTCCCCCTGCTTTTCTCAAACAGAAGGAATCTTTCACCATTGCCACCACAGCTGGGAATGTACTGGCTCTCACCTGAAGCCGCACATCTCAGTCTCACCCAAGACACATGACATACTCCCTGGTATCACTGGTGGTTAGTTAGGGCCCATGGGCTCTTTAGTCAGGTGATGAATCCTGCAATGACTGGGTCCTTCCCTCCAAGGCAGCGAGTTCCTCCTAGCCCAGGATGCATCTAGAAATGTCGTCTGGAATCTAGTGTCTGGAATAGGAGCCTCAGGACTCTGCCCAGTGTCCTATCCTACGGTGGCTCATCTGGTATCCAAGTTGCAAGACAAAGTCTTCTTTACCTTTCCCTCTTTTCTCCTCAAGCACCTCAAGCAGAGGGAAGGAGTTTCTCTTGGGCTGCGAGCTGTGTTGCCTGGGTTGGGGGAGGGGTGGCACAAGGACTCTCCTAGCTGCCCTGGCTGGTATCTCAGTAGATTGCTTGCTAAGTCTACTGCCTCTAAGCACAGCACAGCACAGCACAGCACAGCAAGCACAGCACAGCACCAGTACTTGCCCAAGAATTGCAGTCCTTATGGCCTACACTGCCTTTCAAGTTTATTTAGCACCCCAGAGCACTTTGGCTCGTGCTGTGAGGCTTGCTGGAACTCAGGTTTCAATTGCTAGGATGGGTGATTCCTCTCTGGGTAGGGCTAGTCTAAATGCTCCCTCCATGGATGCCAACTGAGATCTGCCTGGTGTTGCCTTCTGCTGTGACAGGGTAGCACTGAGTTCCAATGCAGAGTCCCACAGTCACTGTGCTCTCCCTCCCCCAAATGCACAGATTCTCTCTCCACACCATGCTGCTGCTGCCAGGACACAGGGAAGGGGTGGCATCGGCGATTCAAGAGTGTCTTTCTTACCCTCTTCAGTGCCTTTTTCAGTGACATAATGTTAAAACCAGGTACTGTGACTGCTCACCGGATTTTCGGTTTTTATGAAGGTGCTTTTTTGTATGTGGATGTTGTTTAACTTGATGTCCTTGCAGTGAGGACATTTGGTGAAGGCTTCTATTTAGCCATCTTCCTCTGCCTCCACTCTCCTCCTTCTCTGTCTTTTGAACACTCATATACAACTAGGTATTTAGTATTTTTGTTACATTTTATTCATTATTTTTATGTGTGTTTATTGGGAGAAGTTCATATTAATAAGCTCAGTCCACCATGTTATGGAAGCCAAACTGTATAAATTACATTAATAAAAATAGCATTAATTTTTAAAACTCAGAAATAATAGCAAGAATATTATAATCAAAGTAAGTAATTATGGAAATAGCAGATTCTTCTGAATAATCCATCTATGAGAAATTAGGGAAAACGCTATCCTAGTGAAGTAATCAGAAATTATTAAAACTAATACCTAGATCACTTATAGATAGTATTTTGAAAGTATCTTTTGTAATTTAAACTTTTACTTTTTTACTGATTTTATTACAAATAGTTTCTATAACTTCTCAATCCTTGTTTTCACAAATATAACTGCCATCAAGTTCTACATTTCCCCTTATAGCTAGAGCCTGAGAAATATAAATAAACCCTCAGCTGTGTGGGACTGCCTGGCCCACATTGCTATGGAAGCTGGGTCATGGCGGGCCAGGACCCTGTGCTCACTCTGGGCCTGGACCACGTCAACATCTGCTCCTACCACTGCCTCTTGGGCATGAATAGAGTTTCCTGCTTTTTACCCCTTTTTAGAGACCAGTGGAAATGCCTAAAAAGGTGTATGTGAGTAAAGGCCATCAAAGAAGAAACAAGTATGAGTAACTCTAAAGCTGCACAATCAGAGGCTGAATAATTGGTACTTGGCTACGTGAAACAGTGTTTCTTACTCCAGGTAACACATTATGCAATGAAGATTGTCAAACACCAAGAATATTAGCGATGGCAACCTCAGAAGCACTTGTGGGGATTTATCTGATATGCACCATTCCTCCAACATGAACTCTTAATACACTTTTGATAATAAAGTCCTGAAGTATCTAAAATGCAAGGATTAGAATACCTATGATTTTCAAACTATGACCTGTGGAGCCCTGGGGCATTTGGTGAAGAAATCTCAGGGGCTGTTGTGGGAGTGGTTCCAATATTCACCATGTCCTCCTTTCAACTTAAGTGGCTTCACATATTTAAACTTAATACTGTTCACAAACCAGTCCAGTTAGACAGGGCTCTACTATTGAAAAAAGGTTTTAACCATAAAATGATAGGAATCCAATTTTAGGAATTTCAGTCTTATACCAAAAATCTGCAGGGAATATAAGGAAATATTATTAACAACACTGAGTAAAGATAATATTGTGTGGCCCCCAAAATATCAGAATTTACTTCAGTAGTGATATGAAAACCCACAGATCATGAAAAACAGACCAGAGGTTCTAACTTCTGGAAAATTTTGGAAATCTTTCTTTAAATAAAACTTTAGAAAAAGTCCAAACAAATAAAAACAAAAGCAGAGCTAGCCTAATTTAAAAAAAAAAAAAAGTAAGAATGGGACAGCTTCTTATTCCCTGTTTATTAGTCTTCCTCTGCCTGCATCTTAAAATACCATCATCTTTCCCTCAACCAACACCTCCCCATCCACAGAGCAACCCTTGAAGAAAACACTATGAAAAGGTAAAGTCAAAGTAGTAAAATCACTTTATCCAGATTTAAAAGTGATCTGTTTCTAAATCACCAGGAAGAAAATTACCATAATAATGTTCATATTCATTTTTTTAAGAAATAAGGAGAATTAAATACATAAACTAAAATTTTTACGTGTGCTGCATGCTTAGAAATCAGCTGCTTCTTTTCAAGGAATCATGAATTGCCATTTTTTTAAGAAGAAAAAAATCAAGACAGTGAAATGCTGTTATCCCCAAAACACTATTCCTACTTATAAGAACAAAATGACTTACTATTGTAATGTTACTGACAAACTTCCTCCCTCCTGTTTGGGATATCACCACAAAGTTTGTTCAAACAAACATGTTTGGCATGGTTTTCCATATAGACTTTCCCTGCGAAATCTTTACACAACAATAAAATATTCCAGAATAGGAAAGGCTTAGGTGATCTATAGCAGGGACAACATAACTACATAAAATATTTCACCTAGCACTGCATGTTGAAAGCATCCGATTTTCTTTACTAAGTTATATTTTCAAATATTCATCAAATTGTGAACACATTTTACATATAATGTTCTTCCGAAAATACATAGACAGGATCTGTTCTAACTACAAACAAATGTGTCAGAGAGAAAGTTCATTTCACTATTTAAAACCTGAAATCCGAAACAGTTTAAACATAATATTTTATGTGAGTTAATTTAGTCTAAACTTCAATTTATTTTTGTTACTTCAATTCTACTAAAATATACACTGTCGAAATTAGCAACCAGATCAAAAGTAGTATCTTTCCATTCTTTGCCTATCCACAAAAAGTGGGAAAAAAAAACATATAGTTAACCTAAGAAATTCTACTTTTAGCATTTTAAGGGTTTCAAAATCTATTAACCAAAATGTTTTTTAGGAGCTGGGCTGAGCCTTCATTTCTCATTTCTGAGTTAACAGAATAGAGAACATGTTACCTTTGACTTTTGTAATCATCAGCGTATTAAAGAAATCCCTTCTAATTTTAATTACAAACGTAATAATTCTTATAAATAAAACAAATAAAGCCTACATGGACACATATATTCCTTTACTTTTTACAAAAGTCTTTTTACAAAAGACTTTTTACTTTTTACAAAACTGATACAAGATATCAGTTTATGTTTTTCTAAAAAAAAAATCTACTCATGTGAAAGAAATTCACACTTTGCAAAATTGGGCTGTTCACTATGGAACTTATGAATGCAATAGTAAAACAAAAGCAGTCAAACATTAAAATATGCCAATATTATGTCAGAAAAACATTTCACTATTGCAAGAAAAGAAACCTTGAACACAATTTAAAAATAGGAGTTTCTAAAAAGTTTGAATGCAAATAAGAATAAAGTATTCATTAAACATTACATTTTGCCATTCTGTATGTCTATGTCTCATGCTTAAAGCATTTTATTTGTGGGCTCTAAAAAACATTTTAAAGAAACGACAAAAAAATTTAGTTATTCCAACTCTTCCTTTAAATAATATGAGATTAATTCAAAGTAGCAGATCTCCTTTAGTTTCTAACTTTACCAAATTAGGTAGGCAAAGGTTTACAAAAGCAGTCATGATATTTTTGTCAGAAGTTATTTTCAATAATGTTGATAAATATTTGATAGTTTGATAATTGATATTTCACAGGATTAAAAATATTTTTAGAAAATATTAACCCTGTCATATTTCACAGGATTAAAAATATTTTAGAAAAATAATTCACTCAAAAGACATTATTTAAATCTTTGTATGCTCAAGATGCCACTTTGTGTTTCTTTGTAACTGCAAAATAATGCAGAATAATCTTTCATACAAGTAAAATAAATAATAACAACCCAAAGATAAGATTATGCTTAGGATATACTTTTTGAAGAAACATAAAAACATATAATAAAACAGTACTATAAAATGCCAAAAAAAAAAACCCAGGAAATTGTACTTACAGCCACAGCTCTTTTAATAAACGGTATCTGTGTGCCACTGTCCAGATCTTCATTTATAATAAGTCTTCTAGCCCACTGCCCTGCCCTGACAACACCACTACCATGAATTAAAACCATCAGTTTCTGTGGATTTGTCAAAGCATCCTCACTCATAAAGATAAAACTCTTTGGTTCACTCTCAGTGGCATCTACCTGTAATTAAATAAAATTAAATAATAAATAAATGTCTTCTGATCAGGCATACACATAAATGAAAAAACAACTAATGGCTGTTACAAAGTATTAAATGGTTACTATAGAATTATAGAAGTAAAAAACAATTTTAACACAAAATTAAAATATTCAGTAGAGGTTAACAATTATATATTAGTTGGATGGGACAAGACATGATAGTAATTTAAATATAAAAATACAAAAAATATTGGTAATATGTTTCTCTTCATTATTATTGTATATTTAGTATTATATTATCATTGTAAATAAAAATAACTACTTTTTTAGTGCCTCCTATAGTCTAGCTGCTATGCTACCTGTTGTAAAAACATTATCTCATTCAATAACAACCCATTTAGGTGGTACTATTATTATATTGATTTATAGATGAAGAAATTGAGGCTTAGGGAGTTTAAATAAGTTGCCCACGGTCACACAACTATAAGTCTATAGTTGTATAACAGAAATATATTGCACCTATAATAAAAAATAGAAAACTAAAATTGGAGATAGACGTATTGGAAAATCATATATCAGCCAGGAATACCACTAAACTTTTAAGGGGAAGAAGAGGAAACTATTTAAAAACTAACCATCTATTCTATTCTTACCTGATCTATGTAAATGGACTTCCAAATTTCATTCAGATTGTGAACACAGGATTATATAACAATTATTTTTACAAAGCCACATTATGTACTCCAATGAACTTACTTTATAAACTAGTTACTTACAGAATAAAAAGTAAATATTTTTATCCATTTTGATTGTACTTAATATTTAGATTGTTAACTATATGATGTATGATTTACATTTGAAAGACACAAAACACTTTTAGAAAGAGATAACTTCCCAACCTTTTGTTACATATGCCATGACACACTGAGTGGTATACCACATCAGCACTGGCGAGTGACTGGAAATGGAAGCCTTTCAATAGCCAGATCAAGCAGAAAGTTGACATTCTGGTGGCTGGTACTCTTACATAAAGAAGGTCAATCCACATATTGTGTAACGTAATAGCTCTTCACTTTGTCAACTGTATATGTTCATACAATTATCAAAATAGGAAGTATACAAAAACTCTAGATGCCCCCCCCCCCCCCAAAAAAAGCCCTGGATTCTAAATACTCCCAGTCATTACGCTTAGGAAGAGAAAAATAAAATAAAATAAAATAAAATAAAATATCTGTACTTCTAAAACAATCAGGCTAGTTTCAGTAAGAGATGGCTTAGGCATTTGTGCAAACACAGCAAAAATGGCAATTATTTCAGCAAGAGCAGCATGGACACAGGTCTTAAAGAAGAAATAACACCTTTTCATTGAAGCCTTCCCTGACTACCACTTTTAAAATTCCAAACATGTCCCGAGAATTCCATAGTCCCCTTCCCTGTTTTATTTTCCTCCACGGCACATACCAAGATCTAACATATTGTATGCTTTACTCTACATTTTTGCAAATGTGTTTATTCACGGCCTGCTCCCTCCACTAGAACGTAAGTCCAGGCAGGCACAGAGTTCTCTCGTTTGTATCCACTTATATAGTCTCAGTACCTAAAATAAAACCTAGCACATTGTAGGCACTCAGTAATTAAAAACAATAAACTTTTGGAATGAGGAATCTTATCAAGCCTCACCAGTGACTTCCTTTAGATAAAAGACATTTAACTAAATAATGGATCCTCTAAAATGGTTATAATACTTGCCTGGTTCAGAAAGCATATACTGAAGATTAAACTAGTACATAATTATAGAGAATTTTACAAGAGCTATACAATGTTAAAGAATTAAAATGACATAACTATAATTTTATTAGCAATAGCTAAAAATACAGGAAGAGAGATATGAAGTGTAACACAATCATATTAGCTTCACCTGCATGCTATGTCCAGAGTAAACAAAGTATAATGATGACAATAAATATGACTACAGCCACACAGAAAGATAAGTGGATGACAGACACAGGAAAACCAAACCTAAGAAGAAAAATTCCCTTTTACCTAGGAACATTATATAAAAATAGGAGAATTGCTCAGTTAAAGAAGCCTAAAAAAAAAGTAATGATGATAAGAACAAAATAAAAAAATTGAAAGGCAGAGCTGTCAGTGTATAACAAGAAAGAGGCCACAGGGGTTTCTAGTCACTCAATTACCAAACACTATGTCTAAACACGCACAAAGAAAAGTGTCTCTTAAGGTCAGTGAGGCCTTAATGGATCCTGGAATGGCTATGGAGATGGATATCTATTCACCTTCATGAAAAAACCTGTAGTACAGATATTCCAGTAGGTGCTGATCACTGTCTCTTTTTTCCTATTTGACTAAGTCCCCTGTTACCAAGAAACTCAGTCAATTTTTTAAGCAATGGAATACTGGCACTTTGAAGTCCACAGTAATCACTTAGAACTGAAAGAAACTTATTTTCAGATGATAAAAATGTATTTTTTATATTAAAATGCTGCTCGATAAAGGACCACTTGAGTCCAGGAGTTCGAAACCAACCTGGGCAACATAGTGAGACCCTGTCTCTACAAATAATCAAAAATTAGCTAGGTGTGGTGGTGTGCACCTGTAGTCCCAGCTACTTGGCAAGCTGAGGCTGGAGAATTGCTTGAGGCCAGGAAGTCAAGGCTGCACTAAGCCATGACTGCACCACAGCACTTAGCTTGTGCAACAGAGTGAGACTCTGTCTCAAAAAAGAAAAAAGAGGGAAAAGGGAATCACATTTTAAAAAAAAACACTGCTAAATAATTTTTAAGGGGCTACAAATTAAGGTAGCCATGAATAAATTAAAGTTTTACTTGAATACTGAGAAAAGTTGACTTTCAAAATATGAGAATATCAGAATATTAAAGAAAAACAACAATGAAAATGAAAAATGTAACAATATTAATGAGTAAGGGGTAAGAGCAGTATTTTAGCTGGTCATTGGCTAATATTCACCTCAGTTTACACAGAACTCTGACTGTGCACATGGTAACTACAATGTACTTTCTATAAAGATAGTGCTAATTTTAAATAGTAAGATACCTATATTAATAAAATAATTTCTTCTTCATTAACCTAATTAAGTTTGAACATACGGCTGTTCCAAGGCCATTTATCTTCAAACAGTGGTAATTTATTAAGCTAAGCTTTCATTAAGGAATACACATAATGGTCATTCCAGCGAACCACCTCACTTTATTACAAATCAATCTCAGACACCTTTTGGTTGGTAAGACTGCACCAAACAATTTTAGCAGTCACCAATTCATTGTGGAATACTCGTGAACACCATTAATTGCTGAAACATGATGCATGTAATAAACTACGTGAAAATTTGTAGTGAAGTTGTTAATTCATGTCTCCAGAGTTCTATACAAGTATGAGATATTTTACTATAATTGAGAATACTTTATGCCTATTTATGAGAGATGTGGATTAAACATAGGCATGATCATAATGTTTACTATCAAATCATGGGTTCCACAAAGAGCTGTCATTTAAAAAATGGTTCTTTTTCCCTTTTAAAATAGTTTCAACTATAAAACTAAAAGAGTTCATCACCAGGAAAAAAAAGGTTTGATGGTATTCTTTAAGTAAAAAGAACAACTATTTACAGACACCCACATACAAAAACCCACTCTCACTCTGAGATTTAAGAGAGCTCGGGAGAAAGCTAATAGCTATTGAAAAATAGTTGTGAAGAGAAGTTTCACAACAGTACCAAATATGTGATAATTTAAAGGGAAATATTAATTTCCTAAGACAAAATTCAGAGTTTTTAAGTTTACAAAATAAGGGAAACTTTATTAACCAAAGATGGGCATGATGCTTAAGTTTCATATAAAGTAAATCTCTCTTGCTTATTAGCTTTATATTCCAAATTTAAAATCAAAGGATAATCAGATCCATAATACAGAGTTCTCTTCCATCTATAGAGATCAATAATGAAACTTAAACATATAACATGCTGTATACAGCCAATTATTTTGTGATTTGTTCTAGAAATTTGGAGACTGAAGTGAGTTTAAGGGTTCCCTAGAACTAGAAGTATTATAGAGTTAGCAGACTCAATATTAATTGTGTTGTATCAATAAATTAACCTAATGCTCTTTAAATATCATTCTTCAGAAACTCTGAAAGAAATAAAATTAACAAGAAAGGAAAACTGGGCAAAGTGACAAAATTCTACCCTGACTTTCCAGAAGACCAAATTTCAATATATACTTTAAATGAAGTAAAATGCTAGGCCTAAAGTCAAAACTAAGACAGTAAGTTTAAATTCAAAAAAGACTGGTATATTCATTCCCAGAAAGGTACTAAAATCTTGTCTGTAAAGGAAGAAAAATTTCCAAATAAACCAAGGGTTGATGTAGCTGTTACACAGAATAATATTTTATTGACTAATCCATCATAAGCACTTGGACCAGTGTCCATCACCTAAAAAACATTTAAATAAATATATGTTGAATAAATGAATAATGAGTGAATGACTAATAATGTGATCTTGCACTTGAGGTTACTTACGGAAAATCAAATAAAAAGGTTTCCTTTAAAAAAGGAACTATGGAATCAGTTCTGGAGAGGGGACAATATTAAGAAATCCTCAAACCCTCGAATTTATAATAAAATAGCACTATCCAAAGAATTTTTAAAACTCGTGCAACATTTCATGCAAACAAAATTATCTATATGCAAAGTGTTGTGCCTTAAATGAACTACTTTCATTAAGTCTCCCAGATTCTTATATATCATAAAATCATAAAGTTGTCAGGGACGGCAAAGATCCTCCAATCTAGTCCAACCACCGTTTCACACACGATTACAATCTCTTCATTTTAAAGCTTAATATTTTGTGGTTTACATTTAAAATAACAGGGGTTTGTGTTTTTTGTTTCGTTTTGTTTTTTGACAATTTGAGTCTGAGAACAAATCTCAAACTTTTTCACTCTGAAATGTCAAAATGTGCAAGATTCAAAAAAAGGTTCTGCCAAAAAGGGAAGGAGCAGGGTTATGAAACAGGAAGCACCAGGAATGAATTTGGGAATGTATAGAGGAAACAACATACTATGTGTAGAAATAAGACATATTTTTAAAAACCAAGAAATATTTAAAGAGATAGTGAATGTCTAATGTAACAAAAACTGCACTGGTTTACTACAAATAAATAAAAATAAATTATTCCAGTGAAATGAGAAAGGGTACAGGTAAGGGTAATCCTTTTAATTGAGTCATCATTTTCAAAGAGACTAGAAATCGGTTTTTACTTTATACTGAAGAGTATTCTTTATAAGAACTACTGTGCAGAATGAGATGAGGTATACTAATAAGCATTTAAAATTATCGCTATCAACACAATAAACCCTAACATTTAAACTTATCACAGTCAACCCAAAACAAAAGTTTTCTTCTGAATTAAAAACTATTTTACTTGGAAATAAACATTTCATTTGAAATAAACATTTCTTTAAAATTTGACTTACTGGAATAGATACTTTTTTCAAATTACAATCCTTTTCCAGGAGCTCATATACATACTTCGTGATGATCTAAGTAGGAAAGAAATAACACATTAAGATCCAATGTCATCCATTATCAAAACTGACATAAATTTTGGTAAATTGTTGCAAGTTATTGCTCTGAGTAAATATCTCTTCATCTTGGAATGCTCTGATACTATATTAAGAGACTCCTAATTACCCATAATGGTTTACTTCCTGCTGCTGTATGAATAACTATGAACCTTTGTATTAAGGATTAGGAACAATTAATATACATTAACAAAAATATACACAACTTTCTCTTTTTCAAGAGAATACTCTGAAAGTATATTTTCTTTTTTCAGTGTTTCTAAAATTTGTTTCTCCTATTATTTTCCTATAGGCATTATATTTAATATATTAATGGCACCTTAGTGACTCTGAATCTCAACACCTCTTTTGTGTTCACTGAATCGAGGAGGAAAAAGTCAGAGGTATTCTAAACAGAAAAGGAAAACTCATCCAGAAAGTCAGGGACCTGTCAGTAACACTGCTTATGCTAGGAAGAAACACAGTTCCTCTAGATGTCCATGTCCTAATTCCTGGAACCTGTGAATAAGTTATGTGACATATTAAATGAACCAACAGATATAACTGAAGTTTAGAACCTTGAAATGGCGAGATTTTCTAGGATTATCTGGGTGATGTATGTCTTTAAAAGTAGAAGATTACAGAAGAACAGTGGGTCAGAGAGATGCAAAGTGACTCAACTGGCTATTGCTTGTTTTCAACATGGAGGAAGAAAACAAGCCAAGAAATTTGGTAGCTTTTATAAAGTGGAATAACCTTCAGTTTACAACAGTAAGAAAATGAGACCTCAGTCCTACAACTGCAAGGAACTGAATTCAGCCAGCAACCCTTATAAGCAGTAAACGAATTCTCCCCTAGATCCTAAAAACAGCTTGTTCACACCTTGATTTTAGCCCAGTGAAACTCATATGGGACTTCTGATCTACAGAATTGTTAAGATAATAAATTTGTGTTGCTTTAAGCCTCTAAATTTATAGTAATTTGTTATAGCAGCAAAAGAAAATCAACATACTATTTCTGTTAAGGAAGGCAAAGAGTAAGGAAACAGACACCTGGAATAAAAACAAATATTAAATAGATGGTACTAATGGTCATTTTAAGGAGTGTTTCTCCACCCCAAAATGTCTTAAGTTATCTATGCAAAATACCTCAGAGAATAATTTTAGCAGAAACATAATTAAAAGTCAAATTTTATGAAACAAAATCACAGGATGATTTTTTTAGAAAATTAAGATGTCAATTGCTTTGGTGCTGTATTCGTAATCTAAAATAGATTCTTTATCCTGCTTTCTTCAAGGAGTCCAAAATTCTTTCTTCTATGTATACGTATTCATTTCATTTTAGAAACAGTATATTAGATGTATGCTAGAACAGCTTTATCTTGGCTGGTAATGGTAATTTCAAAAGCTATGACACTACATTAGAACTAGGTAATAAAATGCTAGTTATTAAACTAATAGTATTCTTACATTTCAACATAGTAGTTAAAATTATGTTGATTATACCTTCACTGGGATGTAGTGGTACTGTAGACTTATAAGAGTAAACTAAAAATGTGGAGGTTCAAACTAAACATATGTGTAAAGTTATATATTATGACCTGCTGCTTTAAGAGAAATAGATTAAATAAGATTAGCAAAATGAGTGGTTTAACATTTCTGAAAATATCCTACTATCTATGAAATCACAAAATATCCTTACATTTGAAGTAACAACAAAACCAATGAAATTTAATCCAAATGAATTCTACCACCATGCCAAATACTTGAGACATAATCTGAGAATTAAAAAATTAAATACTACTGACCTTACAAAAAGAAAAAAGCTGGACAAACTAGAAGTCAACAGCTCTTACTAGGTACATCAGTTAATCCTCAAGGTTTATACTACAGGATAATATAAAACAATTCAAAAACTCAAAAATTGCTTATTTAGCTTTGAAAAACACGATAGAGCAAGTCTGGAATTTGCAACATAGCAAACCAAGTAATAAAACTATATATCAAGTAAGAGTTGGAGAAACACTACCTAACTTGCCTAATTTGCTTTGATCTCCAAATCCTTACTGTAGGAAAAAAGCAACCATAGATGAAATCATCTATCTTATAGGCAATTCTCCGTGTTCAGCATGCTCTCCTCAGCTCTAGTCATCCTCCAAAATACAGATCACATGTCAACTCCTTCAGGTAACTCTCACGGTCTCATCCCAACCCTCCAAGGTATGGCAAAGTGTCTCACCTCTATTTGCCTCTGGACATGACTGAATATCATTGTCTAACATACTACTCGAATATCGTTACCTGTCTGTTACACATCTACTTATAGAACACTATAATTTCGGTCTCCTACCTTTATTCCTTCTTGTATTCACAGGATACTCTGGCAAACAGAAGATACTTAAAATTGTACATGAATTCTCCTCTCTGTCCATCCTGTCTACATCTTTTGAGGGAGATACAAGTTCAAGATTTAAAAAAAAAAAAACATTTTCTAATTGCTAAATCAAGGCTTAGGAAGAAAGCATCAAGGACTCATTCATTGCCTTCCAGATTGCATAGAATTGCACTCTGCATTTAGAAAAACCAAAAAATGAAAAAGATAATTTCAAAAAGGAGATGAAAAAAGTATTTCTTTCCAAATGTCATCTGTGTTCAAATGTTCACTGGGAGCTGTGTTTATAGATGGAAAAGAAAAGGCTTAAGAGACTACGCAGGCTCTAAAATTATGTTTTCATTCTAATAAGAAACAGAGAATTTCCGTTGTCTGGTCTGATGTATATAGAGCTTGGAAGTAGGTACTACTGACCTTACAAAAACAAAAAAGGCTGAACAAACTGAAAGTCAACAAATCTCATTAGATCCATCAGAGAAGTGAGGCCACAGAGCAAACTGCTTCCCTGAAAATGGAGAGAGACAGACAAGCAGATATAAAATCAGTTTACGGGGTACCTCAGCTGAAGCCAGTACTAACATAAGAACACTTCAAACTGCAACGGAGGAACTGCTGGCGGGGTGTGGACTAGCTTAAGAGTTAAAAACTAGGAGGAGGTTCAACCTTAAGGGGGAGGGGACAAATTTTTATGAGTTTTACTTCCAGGAGGGCTACTAGGTTCTCACTATGAAGACTACATAAAAACTCTCCTGCAGGGGAAGGGGAAAAGTAACCATTTAAAAATACTCCAGAGCTCTCTATTGTCTTTAACAATGCCTGCAATAGTTGAAGAGAAACTATTTTACCAGAACCTAGCTGACCTGGCAGAAAGGGAAATGCCCAGCTCCGGCTCATTTAAGAGATGAGACCTAATAGAGGACTATAGAATATCTCCCCATCTACCCTAAGTTACCACCATATCAACAGAGTTCCTATAAAATACCAGGGGATTACAGCTAAAATAACTCTAAGAGTCAGGCCCTTTTTAAGGACCCTAGAAAAAAAACAAAGACAATAGAGGAGACAAAAACAAAGAACCTAGAGGAAACTGTAGCCTCTGACATGCAGCTAAAGCAAACAATAAACACAATCTAATGCCTAGCCAAATAAACATAAAATCTCACACTAAAGACCTATTTACTTCAGTTCCTTTTACCTGATATATGATATCAGGCTTTCAACAAGTAGTTACCAGGCTGCTAAAAGGCAAAAACAAACAAACAAAACCCCCATGATCTGAAGAGACAAACCAAACATCAGAACTAGACTCAGATATAGCAGAGATAGTGGAATCATCAGATTAGGAATTTAAAACAACTATAATATGTTAAGGCTTTATTGGAAAAATGCACCACATACAGGAACAGATGGGTAATGTAAGGAGAAACATGGAAACCAAGATACAATAAAAAGTAAATGTTAGATCACAACCACTGTAACAAAAATGAAGACTGGGTTTATTAGGCTAATTAGTAGACTGGACATGGCCAAGGAAAGACTCAATGAGCTTAAAGATAAGTTAATGGAAATGCTCAAAATGTAAATGCAAAGAGAAAACAAGAATGAAAAGACAATACAGAATATTAGAGAACTGTGGGGCAATCACACAAGGTGTAACTTATGCATAATGAGAATACAAGGAGGAGAAGAGAGAAGAAACAGAGAAAATATTTGAAGCAATGATGGTTGAGAATATTCCAAAATTAATGACAGATAAAAAGTAATAGATCCAGGAAGTGCAGACAGCATCAAGCTGGATAAATAAAACAAAGAAACAAACAAAAAAAACTATACCTTGCCAAAGTGAAAATCTTAAAAGAAGCTGGTGGGGGAAGGGTGGAAATTTACTTACAGAGGAACAAGGATGAGAATTACATCGGACTTCTCTTACAAACTATGTAAGCAAGAAGACAGAGGAGGGAATTACTCAGTGTTGAAAGAAACCCCACCAACCTAGAATTTTATATCCTGCAAAGTTATCCTTCAAAAGTGAGGGAGAAATAATGACTTTCTGAGACAAATAAAAATTTAGGGAATTTTTTTCTTTTTTTTTTTTTTTTTTTGCCAGTAAACTTGCCTCACAAGAAATGTTAAAACTTATTTCAGAGAAAATGAAAATTACAGAGGTCAGGAATTTGGATCAACACAAAGAAACAGGAGAGTCAGACAAGAAAGAAATGAAGGTAAAATAAAATATTTTATTATTCTTATTTGATCTAACAGATAACAGTTTGTTTAAAATAACAGCAACAATGTATTTTGTGATTAGAGATAAGCAGAATGAACGTCAGCAATGTTATAAGCGACAAGACAGGAGAACTGATTATACTCTGTTATAAGGTACTTGTACTACACATGAAGATGTCTAGTGTCATTTGAAAGAAACACTGGAAAGAAAAATCTACTACACCTGGCAATTTTCCTGGATTTCTTCTGATTCCTAAGAAGCTGCCATAAAGATAAAAGTTAAATGAATCCACAATGGAAGTGACAGAAAAATAATTTTGAGATTATATATTCATGGAATAAATATCCTGACTACTAATACAGTAATGCCCTCAAGGAATTAGAGTCTGACTCAAATTTTTCCAGCTCAGAGTTTCTGCATGCAGGGATTAAAGAAAATTGTTAAAAGGAGAGCAGGGGTGATCAATGAAATAAAACACAGAAATAAGGAAAATGAAGTATAATAAAAATCACTTCTCTATGGAGCACTTCCAATGGAAGAGTTATATTCATCCTACTATGAATTTACTTTTGACATTTATTAAGCACTTACTATGTGCTTATCATGTTCCTCATTCATCTCAGCATTACTTCAGGTCTTTAATTAAATAAGAAGCCAGCAATGATAACCTTTAGTCCAGTAACAGCACTGAAATTATTCTAGCTAGTTATAATTTAAGGGGGTGGGGAAGAGTGACATTAAGAAGCCTCCTAGAAGGTACTACAGATCCTTTTGAGAAATAAAATGTAATACACGATAATATATATTACTGCATAGGTAAGGTAAATAATATAAATACTTCAATTAAACACAAAGTTTATTTTATTACCAGATATTCAAGCTTTCATTCTTTCTCCCTCAGAAGAAAATTTCTCAATAGTAACAAGCTAAATTTGGCCTTATTGATTCACGCAATAACAACTGTTATTTTACAACTTTATTAACTACATAAGATAAAAAATTTCTATATTAGGCATATTAGGAGAGTAAGAACATCAGCCCAAGACATAAAACACCAATACCCATACATCACCAGTCATACCCATCCCTATAGATGACACGTAAATGCTAAGAGAATCCTGACTTTAAACGTAAAGGTGGATAAATTGAATCAAAAGGGAAACTCTAAAAGATTTAAATATATCTATAAAATTTTTATGCCTCTTTCAACCAAATAAAATCTTAGAAAACAGACTAAGTATCTGAATTAATAAAATATGAACTAAAACATTAGAAGAAATCATTTTTTAAAAGTTTTTAAACATCTGAAACATTTTAAAAGAAAAATAACTTTTAAATGCTTAAAATATTTTAAAATAAACCATTTTTTCTGTGCTTGCATAGCGGTAAGTATACCTACCTGTTATGTGGGACACTGGGGTTTGATTCTCCCCACAACCAAAAAAAAGAAAAGAAACAATTTGTAAACAGCCTTAGGATAATAAATCATTGCCTAGTAGAAATTTGGTTCTAAATGGCAGAATGAAATTAAGTCATTTATAATGAATACACTTAAGTGATAATAACACTCTGTTTTCTGCTTGAAATAATTACATATATCATGTTTACATTAAATGGATACTTACAAAACAGTTGAAAATAGTTTACTTTTACATAAGCATCTTCTTTTAACATTATTCGTTTGCTTAGAAAGCCCTGATTTCACAAATGAGCCCAAAGGAGTCAAAACAAGCAATATGATTTATCACACTACAATGTATCACAAATGTAAATGAAGTTTGATATTATAAGCTCTTACTATATTGAAAGTTTAAAAATATTTTGAAGATAAACTTTCGCTTTTTTTTTTAATTTGAGATGGAGTCTTGCACAGTTGCCCAGGCTGGAGTGCAGTGGTGCGATCTCAGCTCACTGCAAGCTCTGTCTCCTGGGTTCACGCCATTCTCCTGCCTCAGCCACCCGAGTAGCTGGGATTACAGGTGCCCACGACCACGCTCAGCTAATCTTTTGTACTTTTAGTAGAGACGGGATTTCACCCTGTTAGCCAGGATGGTCTCGATCTCCTGACCTCGTGATCCGCCCGCCTCGGCCTCCCAAAAACTTTCACTTTTAACACAATATTTAGCCAGGCACGGTGGGTCACACCTGTAATCCCAGAACTTTGGGAGGCCGAGGCAGGTGGATCACCTGAGATCAGGCGTTCGAAACCAGCCTGGCCAACGTGGCAAAACCCTGTCTCTACTAAAAATACAAAATTAGCCAGGCATGGTGGTGCAAGCCTGTAATCCCAGCTACTTGGGAGGCTGAGGCAGGAGAATCACTTGAACCTGGGAGGCAGAAGTTGCAGTGAGCTGAAATAGCGCCATTGCACTCCAGCCTGGGCAATGAGAACAAGACTCCGTCTCAAAAATAAATAAATAAATAAATAAATAAATAAATAAATAAATAAAACAAAAATACAATATTTATTCTATCTATTCCATGTTACTTAGTTTCACTTTGCTTATTATGATTAATAAAAATACAATTTAAAATCCCCAAACCATTTATTTTGAGAGGCAGAGGCTTCAAGATCTTTGTATTCAGTATGTAACTGAATAATTGGTTGGATTCCTCAATTTAAAATATACCAATAAATGGGGGATAGTGCCCCACCAGGTCTCAGGAGCAGAAGGGAGGCAGATCTCACACCTGGAAATCTAATCCTTGGCATGGTCTGCCACCGAAGGAGTAGGGAGCAAATCCTGCCAAAGTCCTACCTGGGTCAAAGGAAATGCAAGAGTGGTGCCAGTTGCTGAAGGAAGCACCCACCAAAGCCTCTGAATGGACAAGGACGAGGGGAGTAATCTCTCGCCTCCCTGCCCCTTTTCTCAGTTCACTGTTGTGAACTTGGCAAAGGCTTTTCCCACCAGGATTTATGAGCATGGCCTTAAAGAGACAACTTCTTGAGTTTCTCCAGTGGCTTCACCCCTACTGAAGGTGAACACTGGCTGGGGGAGGGTGCTTTTCATGCTTCTCCATTGCCTCTGCTCCTGCACCCACCAACCAGCTCTTACAATTAAGTGCTACCTACTGACTGTAGCCTGAAATACACGACCAATCAAAATTACATTGCTAAAACAAGCAACATCTGAGAAAGCCAGTTAACAAACCTATCTATATCCAAGAAACCTATATAGAGCCTTGGCACCCTGAAAGCGCCAAGAAACAAATCCAATCAATCACAAACAATACACACCACAGTCATACCCACAAGGGAAAAAAGAATAACAAATCAAGACGCCCCATCCAAATGATAGCAAACTAAAAAAAAAAAAGAGAGAGAGAAGTATCAGCTCTCTTAGATGAGAATGAACAGTGCAAGAACTCTGGCAATAGAAAAAGCCAGAGTGTTTCATCATCTCTAAATGATCCCACTAGTTCCCCAGCAATGGATCCTAACCAGAATAAAAATTCTGAAATGACAGATAATTCAGAATATGGGTGGCAAAGAAACTGAATGGGACCCAGAAGGAAGCTGAAATCCAACATGAAGAAATCAGAAAAACAATTCAGAAACTGAAGATGACATAGCTGCTATATTAAGAAAGAACCAAATGGAACTTCTGGTATTGAAAAATTCACTACAGGGGGCTTGTTGTGGTGGCTCACGCCTGTGATCTTAGCACTTTGTAAGGTCAAAGCAGGAGGATCTCTTGAACCCAGGAGTTCAAGACCAGCCTGGGCAACATAGGGAGACCTTGTCTCTTAAAAAAAAAAAAAAAAGAGAAAACTCACTACAGGAATTTCTTTTTCTTTTCCTTTTTGAGACAGTCTCGCTCTGTTGCCCGAGCTGGAATGCAGTAGCATGATCATAGCTCACTGCAGCCTCAAACTCCTGGGCTCAACTGATCCTCCCACTTTAGCCACTGAAGCAGCTGGGACTACAGGTGCATGTCACCATGCCCAGATAATTTTTAAATTTTTTTCATAGAAACCAGGTCTCACTATGTTGGCCAGGCTGGTCTTGAACTCCTTGAACTTATGCAATCCTCCCAACTTGGCCTCCCAGTAGTTCTAACATGAATAGTTCTAGGCGTGAGCCACTGTGCCCAGCCAGGAATTTCAAACTACAATTGAAAGTCTTAACAACAGAATACATCAAGCAGAAGAAGGAATCTCAGAGCTCAAAGACTGGCCCTTCCAAGTCAACCCAGACAAAAATAAAGAAAAAATAATTGTAAAAACTGAATAAAGCCTTCAAGAAATATGGGATTATGTAAAGTGACCAAATCTATGACTTACTGGCATTCCTGAGTGAGAAGAGAAAGTAAGCAACTAGGAAAACATATTTGAGGATATAATTAAGAAGTTTCTCTAATCTTGCTTAAATTGGTCAACATGCAGATACAAGAAATCCAGAGAACTCCTGCAAGATACTATACAAGATGACCTTCCCCAAGACACACAGTCATCAGACTATCCAAGATCAATGCAAAAATTCTTAAAAGGCAGCCATGGAAAAGAATCACATCACCAATAAAAGAAAATCCATGAGATTAACAGCAGAATTCTCAGCAGAAACCTTATAAGCCAAAAGAGACTGGGGACCCATTTTTAGCATTCTTTAAGAAAAGAAATTTCTGCCAAGAATTTCATATCCCACCCAACTAAGCTTCACAAACAAAAGAGAAATACAGTTGTTCCCAGACAAGCAATCGCTAAAGGAACTGATCACTAGCAAAAAATGCCTGTGGGGTATCTGAACATGGAAATGAAAGAATGATACTTGCTACCACAAAACACATGCAAGCACATAGCCTACAGACCCAATAAAGCAACTACACAGTTGAGACTACCATGCAACTAGCTAACGACACCACACAGGAAGAAAACCTCAAATATCAATATTAACCTTGAATGCAAACAATGTATACACTCCACTTAAAAGACACTGAGTGGCAAACTGGATGAAAAAACAAGACCCATCCTTCTACTGTCTTCAAGAGAGCAATCTCACATGTAATGACACACAAAGGCTCAAAGTAAAGATCTATCTATACAGAAAGATCTTTCTCAAAGTAAAGATCTATCTATACAGAAAGATCTTTCTCAAAGTAAAAATCTTTCTATAGAGAAAGATCTATCATGCAAGTAAAAACAAAAAAGGGCAGAGGTTGTTATTCCTATATCAGATAAAATAGACTTTAACAATAAAAAGGACAAAAAGTAATATTACATAATGATAAAGGGTTTTATTCAACAAATAAATAGGCACCCAACATTGGAGCACCCAAATCTATAAAACAATTACTTCTAGACCTAAGAAAAGACTTATATAGCCACACAATAATAAGGGAAGAATTTAACACCCCACAAAAGCTATTAAACAGATCATCAAGGCAGAAAACAAACAAACAAAAATCTGAACTTAAATTTGACACTTAATTAATTGAACCTAATAGACATCTATGGAATACTCCACCCAACAACAACAAAATATATATTATTCTCATCTGCACACAGAACATATTTCAGGATTGCTGACATGCTTGGTCATAATACAAGTCTTGGTAAATTTTTTGAAAAAACTAAATTAAAAAATAAAATAAATAAAAAATGAATCATACGAAACATCTTCTCAGACCATGGTGGAATAAAAATAGAAATCAACACCATGAAGAACTCTCAAAACCACACAAACTATATATGGATATCATTACATAAAAGTCTTGAATGACTTCTGGATAAACAATGAAATTAAAGTAAAAATCAAAAAATTCTTTTAAACAAACAAAAATAGAGACACATACACCTCTGGGATGTGGCAAAAGCATTCAGAGGAAAGTTTGTAGTGCTAAATGACTGCATCAAGAAAACAGAAAAATCTTAGCTGGGCGCGGTGGCTCATGCCTGTAATCCCAGCACTTTGGGAGGCTGAGGCAGGCGGATCAAGAGATCAGGAGATGGAGACCACCCTGGCTAACATGGTGAAACTCTGTCTCTACTAAAAAAATACAAAAAATTAGCTGGGCATGGTAGCGAGCACCTTGTAGTCCCAGCTACTCCAGAGACTGAGGCAGGAGAATCCTGTGAACCCGGGAGGCGGAGCTTGCAGTGATCCGAGATCATGCCACTGCACTCCAGCCTGGGACACAGAGCAAGACTCCATCTCAAAAAAAAAAAAAAAAAAAGGAAAACAGAAAAATCTCAAAATTAACAACCTATCCTTGCACCTAAGGGAACTAGAAAAACAAGAACAAATTAAATTCAAAGCTGGTAGAAGGAAAAAATAATTAAAATCAGAACAGAACTAAATGAAATTGAGAACCCAAAAAACCATCCAAATGATCAACAAAATAAAAAATTTGGTTCTTTGAAAGATAAATAAAATTGATAAACTGTTAGCTAGATTAACAAAGAAATAAATCTATGCACAATCAGAAATGACAAAGATGACATCACAATTGATCCCAGAGAGATATAAAAGATCCTCAGAGACTACTATATACATCTCTATGCACACAGACTAGAAAATTTAGAGGAAATGGATACATTCCCTGAAACACACAACCTCCCAAGATAGAATGAGGAAGAAACAACAATATCGAACAAGTGATGAAACTGAATCAGTAATTTAAAAAAACTACCAACCAAAAAAAGCCCTGGAACAGATTGATTCACAGCTGAATTCTACCAATTCTACTAGATACGCAAAGAGCTAGTACCAATCCCATTGAAACTATTACAAAAAGTCAAGGAGGAGGGACTCCTCCCTAACTCCCTATCCCAATCTGGTAAAGATACAATACGAAATATCCCTGATGAACAGAGACCAATCAATCCTCAACAAAATATTAGCAAATCGAATCCAGCAGCACATCAAAAAGTTAATTCACCATGATCAAGTGGGCTTTATTCCTGGAATGCAAGGATAGTTCACCATATGCAAATCAATAAATGTGATTCATTACATAAATAGAATTAAAAACAAAAACGATTTTTTGTTATTTATTGTTATTGAGATGATCATTCATCTCAACAGACACAGAAAAATGCTTTCATTAAATCCAACATCCTTCATGATAAAAACCCTCAACAAACTAGCCATCGAAGGAACACATCTCAAAATAATAAGAGTCATCTATGAAAAACACACACCCAATATCATACCGTACAGGCAAAAGTTAGAAGTATTCCCCCTAAGAAGATATCCAGTCTCATCACTCCTATTCAAGATAGTACTGAAAGTCCTAGCCAGAGCAATCAGGCAAGAGGAAGAAATAAAAGGTATCTGATATGGTTTGTTTGGCTCTCTGTCCCAAACTTCAAATCTCATCTCGAATTGTAATCCCCACCTCTCAAGGGAGGGAAGTGATTACATTATGGGGACAGTTTCCCCCTTTCTGTTCTCATGATAGTGAGTGAATTTTCATGAGATCTGATGGTTTCATAAACAGGAGTTTTTCCTGTGCTCTCACATGCTTGAACTTCTCTCTCCTGCTGGATGTGAAGAAGGTCCTTGCTTGCCCTTTGCTTTCTGCTATGATTGTAAATTTCCTGAGGCCAATTAAAACCCTTTCCTTTACAAATTACACAGACTTGGGCATTTCTTTATAGAAGTGTGAGAATGGACTACTACAGCATCTAAATAGGAAAAGAGAAAGTCACATTATCTCTTTTCATTGCTGATATGATTCTATATCTAGAAAACCCTAAAGATTCCACTATATGACTCCTAGACATGATAAATGACTTCAGCGAACTCTCAGGACGGAAAATCGAAACACAAAAATTAGCATTTCTATATACCAATAACATTCAAGCTGAGAACCAAATTAAGAATGCAATACCATTTACAATAGCCACTAAAAAAAAAAAATCTAAAAATACATCTAACATGGGAGGCAAAAGATCTCTAGAAGGAGAATTGCAAAACAGTGCTGAAAGACTCACAGATGACAAAAACAAATGGAAAAGAATTTCATGCTAATGAGTTGGAGGAATCAATATCATTAAAATATTTATACTGCCCAAAGCAATCTATGGATTCAATGATATTCCTATCAAATTACCAATGTCATTTTTCACAGAATTAGAAAAAGCTATTCTAAAATTCACATGGAACCAAAAAAGAGACCAAGTAGTCAAGCCAAACCTAAGCAAAAAAAAATAAAATAAAATAAAATCAAGCTGGAAGCATCACATTACCTGAATTGAAACTATGCTACAAGGCTACAGTAAACAAAACAGCATGGTACTGGTACAAAAATAGATACATAGGCCAATGGAACAGAATACGGACCCCCTGAAATAAAGTCACACACCACCAACCAACTGATCTTCAACAAAGTCAGTAAAAATAAACAATGGGGAAAGGATACCCTATTCAATAAATGGTGCTGGGAAAATTGGCTAACCATAGGCAGAAGAATAAAACTTGACCCCTACTTCTTACCATATAGAAAAATTAACCCAACATGGATTAAAGACTTACATGTAAGACCTCAAACTAAAAATCCTAGAAGAGAACCTAGGAAATACTCTTCCAGATGGTGGCCTAAGCAAAGAATTTATGACAAAGTCCTCAAAAGCAAATGCAACAAAAACAAAAATTGACAACTGGGACCTAATTAAACTACAGAGCTTCTATGCTACAAAGGAAACTGTCAAACGAGTTAACTGACAATCTATAGAACAGAAGAAATTATTTTAAAACTATGCATCTGACAAAGGATTAATATCTAGAATCTGTAAGGTGCTTAAACTATTGAACAACCAAAAAACAAATAACCTCATCAAAAAGTGGGCAAAGGTCCACGTTTGAACAGTTCTCAAAAGAGATATACAAGCAGCCAACAAACATGAAAAAAATGCTCAAATCACTAATCACCAGAGAGATGCAAATCAAAGCCACTATGAGATACCTTCTCACAATATTCAAATGGCTGTTATTCAAAAGTTAGAAAATAAAAGATGTTGGTGAGGCTGCAGAGGAAAGAGAACACTTATACATTGTTGGTGGGAATGTAAGTTAGTTAGCCCCTGTGGAAAGCAGTTTGTTGATTTCTGAAAGAACTAAAAATGGACTTAGCACTCAAACCAGCAATCCCATTACTGTGTATACAACCAAAGAAAAATAAATCATTCTACCAAAAAGATACCTGCACTCATATGTTTATTGTAGCACTATTCACAATAGCAAAGACATAGAGTCAACCCAGGTGTCCATCAATAGTATGGACTGAATAAAGAAAATGTGGTACACATACATGATGGAATACTATGCAGCCAGAAAAAAGAATGAAATCATGTCCTTTGCAGCACCATGGATGCAGCTGAAGACCATTATCCTAAGTGAATTAATGCAGAAACAAAACCAAATACTACATGTTCTCACTTATAAGTGAGAGCTAAACATTGGGTAGACATGGGCACAAAGATGGGAACAATAAACACTAGGGAATGCAAAAGTAGGCAGGGAGGGAAGAAAGGAGGGAAGGTAAGGGTTGAAAAACTAACTATCAGGTACTATGTTCACTAGTTGGGTGATGAACTCATTAGATGCCCAGACCTCAGCATCATGCAATATACCCATGTAACAAACCTGCACATGTACCCACTGAATCCAAAATTTAAAAATAAATAAAATATTCTTTCTATATTACAAAAAATAAAATGTACCAAGATTATAGATACCAGTGGCTGGAACGGGTGGGGTGGGGGTTGAGGGTGGAATGAAGAGATGGTAGTTAATGGATACAAACATACAGTTAGGTGGAAGGTAAAAATTCTAATGTTTGATAACAGAGTAGGGCAATTATGGTTAGCAATAATGTACTGCATGTTAAGTAGCTAGAAGAGAGTACTTAAAATGTTCTTAACACACTGAAATGGTCAAGGTGACAAATACCCCACATACCCTGTCTTCATCATTACACATTCTATGCATATAACAAAGTATCACAAGTACCCCATAAATGTGTAAAATAATATGTATCAGTAACAGGAAATAAAAACTTACAGCTTTTTAAAAACCAGTCTTACTCATTTCATCTCTAAACAGACCAATTGCAATTGGTAGGAGATTTCAGCTTTGAGCAATGACCTGATTTAAAATGTGTTTATCCCCAGTGCAGTATGTTAGGAACATTCACAATGTGTAATATTTACCTTTAGGGCCAAGAAGTATATTATGGTTCAATGGAAACAAATTTAGTATTACACCAGCACCATAATGTAGTGTTTCTACAAATAGTAAAAGTTAATAGGCAGGTGAAACCTATATATTGAATTTAATATTACAGATTATTTTTTACGTTTTACAAAATGGGAAAATTTATCACTAATATTGATTAACCAAAAAAAGCAAATGTTGATGCTCAAATATTAAATAACCACTCTTGGAAAATATCAAATTTTGATATTTTTACAAAAAAACCCTGCATGCATAATTAGGCTTACTTTCTACTTTTTCCTGCTCTTACATTTTAGACGAATGTCTTATATATCACATTAAAATTTTGTTTTGTTGTTTTTCACTCAAGCTGGCAGGTTTTATTCTTTGTAGTTACTGAATCATTTTATCCCGTACCTTTTATTTACCTTGCTTTTTCTATGTTTCTTTCTTTCTCTTCCTATATTTTAATAGGTTAAGTTTTCTTTATTTCTCACTCTCTGGTATAAAAGTGATATATTCTGGTTCTATTCCTCTAGTGACATCCTTAGAGTTTTAACATGAATACTTAGCATACTTACATCTAAAATTAATCTTCTTTTCTTGAATAGTTCAAAGACTTTAGAGAGATTTACCCCATCTTTTTAACGCATCTTACCTCCTTCATGTTATTTTTAAATAGTATATTTTTCTACCTTGGTTTTGTATTTGTTGTTGCTTATTATTGTTGTTGCTTTATATAGCTAAAGTTCCTTTACACTGCTCACAGCCTTACCAATTCCACTGCTCAGCATTCTTTCTTAGTTGCATCCCACTTTCTTTCTTCTTATTAATTCAGTTTGCTTCTTTGGTAGCTCTTTAGCAAAAGGTAAACTGTCAGCCTTTGTCTGAAAATATATGTATCTGAACCTAATTTTGAATTATGGTTTTATTTGAGCATACAATTCTGGATCAATAGTTATTTCCTCTGGTGTCTTCTGGTAACCACAGTTGTTAATGTTTCAGCTGTCAGTCTAGCTGAGGTTGTAGATAATCATGCTTCATTATCTGCTTGCTTTTATAATCTTCCCTATGCCTTTGATGTGCCAAAGATTCACTATAATACCTAGGTGTAGGTTCAGTTTTATTAATCCTCCTGAGGACTCAATGTAGTTCCTGAATCTTTTACCAATTCAAGACAATTCACAGATAATGTTTCTTCAAATATTTCCTCACTCTTTCTTTTTCTAGAACTCCTATTAATACATGCTAAACATTTTCATTCTACTATCCCTGTTATAAGCTCTTTTTCATATTTTCCATCTCTTTTTAAAATCTTTCTGAGCTATATACTAAGTAATTTTATTGAGATAAGTTATCTTCTAGTAGACCAACTCTCCCTTCAGCTATGTCTAATCTTCTATTTAAGTAGGCTGTTGAATTTTAACTTGACTATATTTTGATTTATATACATTTCATTTGGTATTATTTAAAATCTATTCTTTTAAAATATTTTGTTAACCTTTTTAATGTTTTCAAGCATTTTAAATATTTATTTTAAGGTCTCTGACTCATAGTTCTATTATCAAAAGATAATATGCCTATAGCTCTCCATTATAGTCATATTTTTAAAAATAAGCTTAAGGCATACCACCTTCATAGAGCTTTTCCCCTAAAATATTTGCCTTTCTCTGATTTCCTTTGTCAGCCAAAGTCTACTCAGCAAATAATTATTCACTAGCTTTTACTTTTCTGATTACTGTATTTCTTAATTTTTTTTTTTTTTCGGTAAAGGTTCTCACTTTGTCATCCAGGCTGGAGTGTGCAATGGCGCGATCTCGGCTCACTGTAGCCTTGACCTCTGGGCACAAATGATCCTCCCACCTCAGCTCCCCAAGTAGCTGGGACTACAGGCCTGCACCACCACGCCTGGCTAATTTTTTGTATTTTTTGTAGAGATGGAGTTTCACCATGTTGCCCAGGCTAGTCTCAAACTCCTGAGCTCAAGCAATTCACCCACCTTAGCCTCCCAAAGTGCTAGGATTATAGGCATGAGCCACCATGCCCAGTCCTGATTATTATATTTAAGTCTCATTTCCTCTGCTTGATGTAAGTTCCTTGAGAAGAAAGACTGTAGTTTTACTTAATCCTAACTCAAAACCAAGTAGAACAATGTACTTAACAAATTTTTGTTGGTTTTTAACTATTTTTAATCATTTATTAATACATTAACAGAAACAGACTCTAAAAGAGAACCCTGAAACACAGATGATTATCCATTTACCCTCCCAATTCTTTCTGGAGATTTCTCAATCCCATAAGTTTGAGACTAAAATATTTAATATAATATTTAATAAACAATAATAAAATATTTAATATACATGGTATTCTTAGATTTTAGGGTGAAAGGGTAGCTAATATGAACAGGCCCGAGGTTAATTTTGGGTATTTTATGATATTTTATTCAGTGTTTATATGTAAAAATACTGCAGCTAAAATCCAGCATGATTAAATCCAAAGTTAACTCATGTCACAATAAGCAATGAAGTTCATCACTAGATAATCTGAGCATCTGTAGTACTTCCACTGAAAGAAGCACTGAAAAAAATACTGAAGTCTGCAGAGTACACCACCCCCACAGTCCCTTCAGTCTCTACTCCTTCCTAACAGCCAACTTTACCTCTCCAGATACAAATAGAAAACATTACCTAGTCACTTCACATTGCTAGGAGTGGTAATTCAGCATCCATTTCATATTACTGGCCAAGAAGAGGAATAGAAGAGTCCTGGCCATCTCAAAAACAAAAAAAAAGTAATCTTCCCTTCAATATTTTCAGGCTGTGATATTGGGAATGCAATGAGAGGAAGGCAGAAAAAAAATCACCTATATTTCCTCCTTTGTCAGGTCTCATTTTTCTGTTTCAGGGCTTCATCTGAGTTTCAAAATTAAATTAAATTGAAAATTCCTTGCGCTGATGTCAGTATGCACTCCTATTTTCTACTACATATACACATATGTATACAGATAAAATGGATATAAATAAATATATATATACTGCATCCTATTTACTTCTAAATTTACCTATCTGCAGAAAGTAAAAGCTGAATATATATGTATGTACATGCACAGACACACAAATATATTTGCTGAGGGCCTAAAAGCACCGGCATCACTAGCAATGCACAGATCTTGGGGTGGGGCAGGTGTGTGCATGTGCATGTGTCTAAACAGTCATGCAATACTTAGTGAAGGGGATATATTCTGAGAAATGCATCATTAGGTGACTTTGTTGCTGTATGAACATCATAGACTGCACTTTCAGAAACTCAGATAGCACAACCTACTACACATCTAGGCTACATGGTATAGCCTACTACTCCTAGGCTACAAACTTGTACAGTATGATACCGTACTAAATACTGTGGGCAACTGTGACATAAGGGTGTATTTCTGTATCTAAATATACCTAAAAAGGGAAGGGCACAGTGGCTCATGCCGGTAATCCCAGCACTTTGGGAGGCTGAGGTGGGCGGATCACCTGAGTTCAGGAATTCAAGACCAGCCTAGCCAACATGGCGAAACCCCACCTCTACTAAAAATACAAACATTAGGCAGGCATGGTGGCATGCACCTGTAGCCTCAAGCTACCTGGGAGGCTAAGGTAGGAGAATCGCTTGAACTCAGGAGGCAGAGGTTGCAGTGAACCGAGATTGCACCACTGTACTCCAGACTGGGCAACAAAGTGAGACTCCGATACACACCTAAACATAGAAAAGGTAGAGTAGAAAGACAATATTTTAATCTTACGGAGCCACCTTATATATGTGGTCCATTGTTGACCACATCATTATGTTGTTTATGGCTGTGGAGAGGTGTGTGTGTGTGTGTGTGTGTGTGTGTGTGTGTGTGTGTGTGTGTGTGTGTGTGTGTGTCCATGTCCAATTCCCCACTAAGAGGAGTCAGAGCTCACTGGAGAAAAGGCTCATTCAAGACCTGGAGCACAGAAAGTACAAGATAAATCTAAAAAGTATTTTTTGTACCAAAAATTAAGAAAATACTGAAAGAGTGGCTTATACATTTTAAAAGAACACAGAAATCTGCCTGATGAGGATCCTTCTGGCTAAATCTGGGATAATTTAGGCATCAAAATAATGGCAGCAATAGATCATATCACCTTTTAAATAAAACAAGAATCTATGAGTCCATAATGATATAAATAAAGTAAAAGGGAAGGAGGAAGAATGCTCTTCCTTACAGCAGAATCCCAACTAATACATAGAGAGGAAATGACATAGTTAGAAAATCAATGGATGCTAAAATTAGTAGGTAAAAGATTCATAGTTTCAAGTATCTTCCCCCAAATTACTTATTAATTACAAAGAGAAAAATAATAGTACTTTTGTGGTGAGATCTGAAAGACATCACCAATACTGGAACAGGTCAAAATCACACGCTCTTGATATCATGCTTGGAGGATAAAAGATCACTTCGAAAGTACTTCTGCCAAAAATGCATAACCTGAATCGAATCATGAGAAAACACATATAACATTCAAATTGAGAGCCATTCTACAAATACCCTGTACTCCTCAAAAAATGTCAAGGTCAAGAAAGATAAAGAGAAGATAAGGAGTTGTTAAAGAATAAAGAGACATGACAACTAAATGCAATGTGTGAACCTGGATTTGATCCTGTACTTCACGAAAAGTAGCTATTTATTAAGTATATTATGCAACATTAGCAAAATTTAAACATAATCTATAGAATAATATTTTATTAATGCAAAATTTCTTGATTCTGATAATTATAAAGAGAATGTTCTTGTTCTTAAGAAATATACACAAATATATTAGTAGTAAAGGGGGATAATGTTTTGAAAATATGCAAATGTTTCAGAAAAAGATTAAGTAATATATAACACAGGAATTTACATAATTACAAGGAACCATATATATAAGTGTGAAAATATAACAAAACAAAAAGTTATTTTAAAATTTCTCAAACTGTTCATATTTCTAGTTCAGATGCTACTGACATTGCATCTTTAGCCACAGGTTATTTCAATAAAAATGCAGCAGATGACAAATAGGGTAATAACAATTTGCTTTCATCAAAAGACTTTAATTTCTTAAAATGTTGCAAGACTACAACTATACTTACGGATATTTTCACCCATTGTTGTTTGTCAAAATCAAGACAACTGAAGTAAATGCCATACTTTGTTGTTTTGTGCCATTGTTTATCCCCTATATAAAATTATCTTAACTTCCCCATTGTCTTCAATTCCCCAAAACTCAAATCAAATACTACCCTCCAAACTGAAGTTTTTACTGACTTTGCCAATGAATTCTGTGCCCTTCTTTTAACATGTGTCATTCCATCATGATTATCTCATATTCTCATTTGTGTACTGAACTATAAGCACCTTATAAATAAGAATTATATCCTACTTCATTGTAGCATAAACCACAATACAGGTGCACAATACATGAATAATGAATGAATGAAAAAAATTTAATTAGTAGTGCCTGCAGACATGTGACACTTTTTATAAAGAACTATATGAAAAACAATATTTTAAAAAGGAAGTTCTGTATTGTAAAATTCACAATTTAAAAATGAAAACAATATAACATGATATACATTGAGAGGTCTCACTTCCTTCATCCCTGTCCTCCTCCATTGTATTCACCCTCATTCTATCTCCTACAGGAAATCTTAATATCCGTTTCTTATACATCCTTTTAATGTTTCTCTGAGCCAATACAGTCATATAAAATTTTTATTTTCTCTTCTTTCTTAAAAAAGGACAGTACACTAAACACTCTGTGTTGCACAGTGTAGTCTTATTATCCCCTCTTTCTTATAGCAGACTAAATGTGCTGTGTTACTTTATCACCTAAAAATTTACCCTGGTGAACTCCCCTGTCAGTAATAGAGATTGTCTTCATTCTTTTTTACTAGTCATAGCAACATTCCATTGTGTGGATCTATCATGGTTTAATCAATCAATTTTTAAGTTACTTAATGCTTCTCAAAAATATTCACTAAGAAAAACATGCCCTCTCCCTCTCTCTCTCCCTCTCCCTCTTTCCATGGTCTCCCCCTCTCCCTCTTTCCACGGTCTCCCCCTCTCCCTCTTCTCCATCTCCCGCTTTCCACGGTCTCCCTCTATTACCGAGGCTGGACTGTATTGCCGCGATCTCCACTCACTGCAACCTCCCTGCCTGATTCTCCTGCCTCAGCCTGCCGAGTGCCTGGGATTGCAGGCGCGCGCCGCCACGCCTGACTGGATTTTGTATTTTTTGGTGGAGACGGGGTTTCGCCCTGTTGGCCGGGCTGGTCTCCTGCTCCTGACCTCTGGTGATCTGCCCGCCTCGGCCTCCCGAGGTGCCGGGATTGCAGACGGAGTCTCGCTCACTCAGTACTCAATGTTGCCCAGGCTGGAGTGCAGTGGCGTGATCTCGGCTGGCTACAACCTCCACCTCCCAGCCGCCTGCCTTGGCCTCCCAAAGTGCTGAGATTGCAGCCTCTGCCCCGCCGCCACCCCGTCTGGGAAGTGAGGAGCGTCTCTGCCTGGCCGCCCATCATCTGGGATATGAGGAGCCCCTCTGCCCGGCCACCCAGTCTGGGAAGTGAGGAGCGCCTCTTCCCGGCCGTCATCCCATCTAGGAAGTGAGGAGCGTCTCTGCCTGGCCGCCTATCGTCTGGGATGTGGGGAGCGCCTCTGCCTGGCCACCCGTCTGGGATGTGAGGAGCGCCTCTGCCCGGCCGCCCCGTCTGGGAGGTGAGGAGCGTCTCTACCCTGCCGCCACCCCGTCTGGGAGGTGAGGAGCGCCTCTGCCCGGCCGCCACCCAGTCTGGGAAGTGAGGAGCGCCTCTGCCTGGCCGCGACCCCGTCTGGGAACTGAGGAGCCCCTCTGCCCGGCTGCCCGGTCTGAGAAGTGAGGAGCCCCTCCACCCAGCAGCCGCCCCATCTGGGAGGTGGGGGGCGCCCCCGCCCAGCAGCCGCCCCATCTGGGAGGTGGGGGGCGCCCCCGCCCGGCAGCCACCGTGTCTGGTAGGTGAGGGGCGCCCCCGCCCGGCAGCTGCCCCCTCTGGGAGGTGGGGGGCGCCTCTGCCCGGCTGCCCCATCTGGGGGGTGGGGGGGCCCCTCTGCCCGGCCGCCACGTCTGGGAAGTGAGGAGCCCCTCTGCCCGGCTGCCACCCCGTTTGGGAGGTGTACCCAACAGCTCATTGAGAACGGGCCATGATGACGATGGCGGTTCTGTCTAATGGAAAAGGGGGAAGTGTGGGGAGAGGAGAGATCAGAGTGTTACTGTGTCTATGTAGAAAGAAGTAGACATAGGAGACTCCATTTTGTTCTGTACTAAGAAAAACTCTTCTGCCTTGGGATGCTGTTAATCTATAACCTTACCCCCAACCCGGTGCTCTCGGAAACATGTGCTGTGTCAACTCAGGGTTAAATGGATTAAGGGCGGTGCAAGATGTGCTTTGTTAAACAGATGCTTGAAGGCAGCATGCTAGTTAAGAGTCATCACCACTCCCTAATCTCAAGTACCCAGGGACACAAACACTGCAGAAGGCCGCAGGGTCCTCTGCCTAGGAAAACCAGAGACCTTTGTTCACATGTTTATCTGCTGACCTTCTCTCCACTATTGTCCTATGACCCTGCCAAATCCCCCTCTCCGAGAAACACCCAAGAATGATCAATAAATACTAAAAAAATTTAAAAAAAAAGAAAAACTTAACATTAAGTATTGTTTATTGAATCCTATTAAAATTAAATATACACAAAATTATCATCTTGGGACTTAGAATCATTTAAAATAAAGATCGACCCTGTAAGTTAACCTAACTTCTTAGAAAAGGTCATCTTTCCCTCTTAATGTCCTATTTATCCAAACTCTACTTCCATCCTAGCCGCCTCCTAGAAGGAGTAGGGTGGGAGAGGGGGAAGGAATAATAAAAGAAGGAAGAGTCAGAGGAAAGAAGAAAGAAAGAAACATAAAAGTTCTTAATAATTAAAGTTTAATATTATTCAATAATATCAGTTTGGCTAAACCTAAAAGGGCTACTCCAACATCTTTACATTAAAGAGACTATGATATGAATGAATGGCAATGAGTGGTCTAATTAGAACCAAAGGACATTTACCCTGGATTCATATCCTCTTAAGTCAGAACTACATCTTAAATTTCACTAAAATTATCTCCATCTCAACTCCATTTTTCCCCTTTAAACCTCTTATACTTCATTCTTGTGGGGTACATTCTAAAAGGTTTTTAAAAATCTTTTGAAGTGACTACTTGCTCGGCATATCTTTGAGAAAATATTCATTCTTCCAACTTTCCATTAGCATCCCCTAAGGTGTTACTCTATATCCCCAGCTGTCCTCCATTTAGAGCTGCTTCAGATCAGTTGTTCTCATATTTTCCTTTTATCTGCTCTAAAGAAGAGTCCTTATTGTATCCCACCCTTTCTTCCCAATAACCAGATTCTTAAATAACTCACTAGAGAATCAGACTTGTATGTATTCAACTAACTATTGGTATCTCCTCCTAGTGATTTTTCAGGCACCTTAAATATTCAAACATTTATTGAAGAGCCTCAGTATGTTCAAACTAAATCCATCTGTATACGTTCTAAGCTGTTCCTCCTCCATTCTGTTAATCAGCTCCACAAATGGCACTACCAGCCATCTAACTGCTCAGTCTATAAGCCTAAGTGTTTAACACCTCCTCCTTCATCCTCCCCTTACATTCATTCATCAAGTCCCTCAAGCTCATATTGGAAATATCTCCATATCTCCTCATCTCTACTATCGCCATTCTAGTCATATCAACAGGTCATTATCTCTTCCTTGCTTCTGTAATCTCCTAACAAATCTTACTGTATCTAACAGTGTCCTTCAGACCCAATCTCCTCTTAGCAGATGTATTACTCCTTTTAAAAATGCAAATGTAGTAGCTTCCCAGTGCCCCTAGAATAATGATCCAAATCCTTAAATCCTACAAGTCCCTCATCTGGTCCCTATCTATTTCTCATATTTAATCCTATACCATTCTCATTCTCGTTTTGTAGCCACACTGGCTTTCTTTTATATTCTCAGAAGTGGCAGGATCTTTTCACCCAGAACCTTGGCAAATGATGTTGCTTTGCTTTGAATGCTCCTCCCATTCTTTGCTTACGTTAACATCTCCCTTGCCTGGCCCCCAATCTATCCTCAAGACATAGCTAAGAAACTTGCACTTCCTTCCTAACACTTAAATAATTAATAATGCCTTTTCCAAGCTCTGTTTTTGACACCAGACTTTAAATTTTCAAAGAGTAGCAACTATATACTTGTCTTGGGCTGAATGTCTAAAGCCAATTCATGTAATGGCAATAAAATATTTTCTGAGTAAATAGTAATAATAGTAGCAAACATTTGCAAAGCAGTCATACTGACATAAGGTCCTTTAATAACTCTCCATTCACAACAAATCTTCACAACAACCCCATAAAGTAAAGGTCCTTCCAGGAACCCTTGGCAGTCAAAGGGTTATATAACCCACCCATGGTCACACATCTAAATAAGTCATGAAGTCTGGATTCAAACCTAGGCAATCTACCTGCCCTGGAGTCTAGAGTCTATTTTCTAAACGTGTATATTACTTTTCCTATGTTACAAAGTCTTTCAATAAATAAAGATGCTGAGGGAGAGGGAGAGTGAGATGCAAAACTGGAAATTAAAGGGCTATTAGTAACATATACTAGCAGACAAACTAACTACAAAAGATGGTCAAAGTATAAGACAAGAAATTTTAACCAGACACTCTTAATTTGTGTGGCATAATCCTCTTGGCTGACTGATGAAGTCGATGGACTCTTCTCAGAATAATGTTTTTAAAACAAAAATAAGATATAAGACTATAAAATAAACCAATTATATTGGAATAAAGTTGTGCAAAATACTTTAAATACCAAATTTATGATATAATGTACATTCTTCCTTATTAATTCATTTTAAATATAACTATAACTACTATATATGAGAACATATGTGATTTCTATCTGTGACAAAGTCACAAGGCTGTTAATATTACTATTTTTATGCCTCCATTTATAATTAAAAGAAATTTAGGTTAGAGGTTAGTAAAATCAAAGATGTGATTTCTATTCCACAGAAGCCATCTAGATTAACAGACCACAACCTTTAAATCCTATCATCCCAATCCCCTGTTTAAGAGCCCCTGGCCTAAACAGCACCACTTATATACTACGGATCCTTTCCACAATATTCTTTGCCCTGTGGACCAAAAGGAAAAAACGGTCTGATCCACATCGTCTCTGTGATGCACACTATTAAGAGCACTGCTCTAGATTCATTTCCTGACTACATAAATGTATATGATTTTAACTTTAATACTGGGTATATTCAGATGATTTGATGTAAAACAACAGAGCCCATTTTTTTCTGTTTCTGTTAATAATACCAACATCCATGTTTCAAAACCAAGAAAAATGAAGAGTCCATGGTTCCTGAACTCAGGCACTCAGTATAACATCATCATTATGTTAGGCCTCTGGGTAAGGAATTCCACTAGCTTTTATCTTTTCTTGTTTCCTTCTCACTCTGTTAAAGCAAACATTTATAACAAACAATCTCAAAGGCAAATAGTCATGTTTGAATGACTTTGTGCTGATTTTTATTAGAATAATCAAGGAAACACATTAAAGTTCACACATCTAAGGTAGACCAATAGATGAAAATAAAAAGGTTAGTAATACATATCAGTAACCCAGAAAAAAAAGTTATAAATCAGACATTGTACATGTAAACAATAAATTTCCTATAAATTATTTATCTTACCTTAAAAAAAGTACTCATTAAAAATAGGGATTGGGGGAAAAATCAGGTAGACTGAGAAAATTTTATCATGTCTCAGAGTAGCCTTTGCTATGCCATCTGAAAGCTTAAAGTAATTTGTGAGAGAGATAATATCAGCAACTACATTATAGATTAACACTATGCCTCTTTATATTTTTTCAAAAGAAGATAATTATTCTCTACAATGATAGCAGAAGTAAAATGATACTATTTTCACCACTTTCCTTTTACCTTTACACATGGAGAGTTTTAACAATTTAACAAGAAAAGTCTTTGTTGAGCTAGAAAGAGACTATTCTATTGAACATAATGATGTAGGTTCTACTGGGAACTACTATTGTAAGAAAGATAGGCTATCTTAAGTAAAAAGATACTCTTTCACAACCACTGCCATTGAAGGAGGAGAGGTTGGGAACAGTTTTCTCCAATCTTCCTGTTTCTACCATGAGTAAAAAAAAAAAAAAAAAAAAAAAAAAATTGCACAATAAATTCAGTTAGATTTCAACTCAGAGTCATAATAGAGTTACTAGTATTTGGACATCTGGACATGCCTTCTCATTATAAACAACTAGACAACTGTATAAAATGTATTAAACTGTTTCAGATAGGGGAAAACAAGCAGTATAGATCTATGATCCTTGAGAGAAGGAAAACAAAGGAGATAAGCCCCATAAACATGCTGGCTTTCTGCCTGAAGGCAGTATCTGGGCTGTGACACAAGGAAGAGGAGCTCAAAGAGAATACTGTGACCTTGCTACATTGAGAAGAGTCAGAGTTCAGGGAAACTGTATGGCACGATTCGATTGAAAAGGGATTTATGCAGAAAAATAACTCTAGAAAGTCTCCCTAAGAGTTCCTTTAAGTCTTTGGCTGAATACTAAGTTGTATATGCATAAGGTGAAACTGCAGGAGACTAGACAAAGAGAACTACTGGAGAAAACTTACTGGAAAGCTCAAAGCTTAACAATTCCCAGAGCTCATATAGGGAATAGGAGTCAGTTGAGTTGCAACTACCCAGTCTGCAAAGGCCTCATGGAATACTCATATTCAGTAGTGACCTGAAAAAGGTCACAACTCATAAGAGAGCTAAACTATCCCTAGAATGATCAGGCTGCTTATAAGAAACTTACCTGCTGCCAAAATAAAGTTCAACATTTGTTAAAAGGGAGACAACAATATCCAGACACTCATCAACATAATATTTACAATGACCACCATCCAATACAAATTACTAGAGAAATTCACAGAAACAGGAAAACGTGATTCATAACCAGAAAAATATCAGTCAATAAAAACAAACCAGAAGTGATAGAGATTATGAAATTAGGAGACAAGAATATTAAGCCACCTATTACAAAAGTGTTCAATCACATAGAGGAAAATAAAAGCATAATGAGAAAAGAAATAGATTTAAAAAAATAAAAAATGGAACTGCCAAGAACTGAAAAAAAAATACATTTGAGATAAGCAATATAATGGATAGATTTAACTGCAGATTACATGCTACAGAAGAATAGATAAGCAAATGTGAAAATATAGCAATAAAGCTCCCTCAAATAAAAGATTGGCAAGACTGAAAAAATGAACACTGCTTCAGTAACCAGTGGGACAATGACAATAAGTTTAACACAAATGTAATTAGAATATAGGAATTGTGGATGGGAGAAAAGATAAAATATTTGAAGATATAAGGGTAGATCATTTTCCAGATTTGATAAAAACTGTAAGGCCACAGATCCAAGAAGCTCAACAAGCAGAATAACCAGGAAGAAAATAACTCTAAGGCACATTCATAATCAAATTACTGAAAACCAGTGATAAAGAAAAAAAATCTTAAAAGCTGCCAGAGAAAAACAACACATTACATAGAGGGTAACAAAGATAAGACATACAACTCCTCAACAGAAATAATACAAGCCAGAAGAAAATGGACCAACACTTTAAAAGTCATCCAAGAAAAAATAATAATCCCATCACCTGGAACTCTACATACATTCAAATTATCCTTCAAAAATGAAGCAAGATAAAGACCATTCCAGATAAACAAAGGCCAAGAAAATTAATTGCCAGCAGACTGGTATGACAAATATTACAGTAAGTTCTTTAAGCTAAAGAAAATGATTCCAGATGGAAACCCAGATATAGAGAGAAGTAGAAATACAATGTTATAAGGCTCTCACATTATATGTGAAGTGGCATCATTTTCTATGAAGATAAACTGTGGTAAGTTAAGGATACATATTGTAAGCCCCCTAGCAACCATCAGTAAAATAAAACAAAGAAGTATAGCTCATAAGCCAAAACAGGATGTTAAGTGGATTACAACCAAATATACTATATATTCAATTAGATTTATCACTTTTAGCTAAAATCTTTCTTATGAGTAACATGATGAACTTCTACAGAAGGATGTAATATACACCAGCGCTTTGCCTATTTCTTTTCACTCAAACATTAATTATACAGTTTTGCCATGTACAAAAACTAAAGCACCTCAGAATACTGACATTCCAAAAATTCAGTAATTACCATTCTGCCAAAAAAAGCAATAGATTCTTACTTAGATAAAATATAAAATTTTTGACAAATCTAAATGATAGTTTTCAGCAGTCAGATTGGACTATATCAAAAGAATGGTAATTCTAAAATTTAAATTAAGATTAAGAGGTATAAATCTTTTCTCAAAGTGTGAGTTAAAAACAAAACATAAACTATTAATTACTAATACAATTCAAGACATTTCAAAAATAGATTTTGTTCCAGAAAAGACCTAACAGGAAAAAAATGGTCTTTATTTCTAAAATCTATACAAGAAACAAAAACACCTTTCCAGGGATCTGCACACGATTTTAGAAAGTAAACTCTGAAGGCTTATGAATTAATGAACACATGCGAAGGAGATTACTTGTCAATAAAATAAAAGACTTCTTAAACTGAATAAAATGTACCTGCCATTTTATATCATAGTATTTTGGCTCAATGAAGGCAAACAAACAAAAAATTTACCTTAAATATATAATATGTAACTTCAGTGATCTCTGAAAGCTATTTTATTATATAAAATATTTTGCTTTGGAGAGCTTCACCAGCTGGTACCATTTGCCCAGAGAGACAGCTGTTTTTTTAGTTTCCCTATCTCAGCATGTTTCCAACTGTCAGTTCTAACTATATGCAATCCCATAGTGACAGAAGACTTTAAGAGAAATGGCTCATTAACTTGAATCTACGAAGTCCACTCTCTTCAGTGAATTCAAATTAAACCCACAGACAGGCTAGCTCATAACAGAATTCCCCACACATTTTTGTTGTTATTCTTTTGCACTGTAGACTCAAAGTAAAATATTCACGTCATCCACTATAAAATCTTTTGCTCAACCCTATAAATGCACTGACATAAAAGATGGTGGGAGAGGTGTATCTCCAAAGATTATGAATTATAGAGCTATTTTTATAAAAAAAGAACTTCCAAAAAAGTAATTTCCTTTGCAATGTAAATAAATGGCTTACAACTTTACAGAAATTAGATAATAAAGCTCAAATTTAAAATGTACAATGGGCTGTTAGAAAATTTCCAGTAAGAACTCTAAGAAGAGACTGACCATGCAGACCTGTAATAATCACAAGAGACAATATATATTAAATACTATATATATTTATATTTATGTTTAAATAAATATTATTTAAAAGATTCAAAAATAGAAAATCAGTTTTTAAGTGTAAGGTATTTTTTCTTGTAAATAAATCATCTTTTAAAATTATTTGGAAAGAATTATAACAAAATAAGCATGGGCCACCTGAGGCAGGCACATATTGCATATCTCTATATCAAGGGCATATCACTGAATGATAACCACAGTGATTTGATCAACAAGAACTGCTGTATACTGTTGACGGGAATGAAAAATTGGTGTGGCCAATATGAAAAACAGTAAAGAGGTTCCTCAAAAAAATTAAAAACAGAATTACTAAGTGATCCAGCAATCCCTTTTCTGGGTATATATCCAAAAGAACTGAAACCAGAATCTCAAAGAGACATCTGCACTCCCATGCTCATTCCAGCATTATGCACAATAGCCAAGATATGTAAATAACCTAAATGTCCATCGATGGCTGAATAAAGAAAGAAAATATGGTTCACACACACAATGAAATAGTTTTCAACCTTAAAAAGAAGGAAATCCTGCCATATTTGAAGACATATATGAACCTGGAGGATATTATGCTAAGTGTAACAGGCCAGTCACAGAATGACAAATACTGTATGATTTCACTTACATGAGGCATCTAAAATAGTCAAACTCACAGAAACAGAGTAGAATGGTGGCTGCCAGGAGCTGTGGGAAAGAAGAAATGGAAAGCTGGTGTTCAACGGGTACATATAGTTGACCCTTGAACAACACAATTTTAAACTGTATAGGTTCACTTATACACAGATTTTTTTCAATAAATACACTGGTAAATATTTGGAGACATGACAATTTGAAAAAACTTATAGACAAACCACATAGCCTAAGACATATAAAAAAAAATTAAGAAGCCTGGGCAACATGGCAAAACCCCTGTCTCTATAAAAAAATAGAAAAAAATTAGCCAGGTGTGGTGGCCCATGCCTGTAGTCCCAGCTACTCAAGAGGCTGAGGCAGGAGAACTGCTTGAACCTGAGAGGCAGAGGTTGCAGTGAGCCGAGATTGCACCATGGCACTCCAGCCTGGGTGAAAGAGCAAGACCCTGTCTCTAAATAAATAAATAAATAAATAAATAAGAAAAAGGTATATATAAATGTATAAAATATATGTAGATACTAGTCTATTTTTATCATTTACTACCATAAAATATACAAAAAAAATCTATTATAGAAAGTTAAAATTATCAAAACTTACCACACAAATACAGAATGTACATGGCACCAAAGTTGAGAGAAATGTAAACAAATGTAAAAGTACAGTATTAAATCATAACTGCATAAAACTCACTGTAGTACATACTGCAGTACTGTAATAAATTTGTAGCCACTTCCTGTTGGTATTGCAGTAAGCTCACGTGTTGTGAGTACCCACTTAAAATGTCATATGATGCTAACCATCTCCATGTGTGAGCAGATCATCTCTACAGTAAACTTCGTATCACAGTAAACAGTGATCTCTCAAGGTTCTTGCATATTTTTCATCATGTTCAGTGCAATACTGTAAACCTTGAATAATACCATGGGACCCGTACAAAGTGCAATTAGTGATGCTGAAAGTGTTCCCAAGAAGCAGAGAAGTCATAACATTACAAGAAAAAGTTTAATTGCTAAATATGTTACTATAGTTTCATGTCTGCAGCTGTGGTTGACTGCCATCTGAGAAAGGTGATTCATCTTGTAAAGAAATAATAAATGACTGTTTATTTTATTGGTAAGGCTCCCAATCAAGAGAAGGCTAATAGCTAAGTTTTAGGGGCATCAAGTTATAGGCAGATTTTCAACTATGTGAGGAGTCAGCACCCTAACTCCTGTGTTGTTCAAGGGTCAACTGCAGTTTGTTATACAAGATGAGCAAGTTCTACACAACTGCCATACAACATTGTGCCTATCGTTAACAATACTGTATTGTGCACTTAAAAGTTTGACAAGAGGGTAAATCTCACGTTACGTGTTCTTACCACAATAATATACATACATACATGAAATTTCATAGCCCTGTCCCAAATCATCACAAACAAAACAAAACTTGCGGAAACTAAAAGAAACTTCTGGAGAAATACAGTATTGGGTATGTAGTTATCTGGAGAGGAAGTCACAAAATATGGCCCTTCTTCATTTTCTTCCAAATACTTTCCCCTAAATATTATAGAAGCATAGAACTTGAAGGTGATCAAATGTATGGAGACTAAGTCTCTTCTCTGTTGACTATAGGAACATTTTTTTTTTGCCAAAATTGCCAACCACATCACTTCTGAAATTATTCAGAAACTATCACTAATTAGGAAAGATGTGAAAGTTTTGGTATAATATATATTATCTATATGCCCATATCTATGTATGTCTACCTAAATATATACATACACACATACATACACATGCACAAGTATACATCCATATATACACTAAGGCATTAAACAGGTTTCTGTCCTTACAAAAAATAAATAACTGTTTCTCCATAGATAATTAGGTTTTGAAAATCATATAAATACGGACAAATAATTTTGTAAAATTATTAGAAAAATGAACAGGGGGCTTTTTGAACTTATGGGCAGTGCATTGTTTACTGACCTCAGGGTTGTGTGAGAATGCAGACAACCAGAGTGTTAAACTGATTTGTGAGATTATTCAGTGCACTTAGCATCCCAAATAAACTATTATTGGTTCACAAATCCAAGTCAGATTTCTTGCATTGGCCCCTATAATATGTCAAACAAAGATCATCCTGCATTCAGGGCAACTACTTAAATTATTCTATAATCATTATCTCCAATGTTACATACTACCTTAAGTCTCCAAAAATAAACTGCTTCCCTAAAATTAGATGTTCTCATTTCAATAATATTTTTATTCAAACAACTGGTGCCTTGAAAATGTTCCTCATTTACCAAAACATAAATTTGTTGTTATATTCTAGGAAATAATTATGACCTCTGAGATAATAATGTCTTGTTTAAAAGCAAGACAATTACAATTCTTAATCTTCTACTGTAAGTCTTCTACTCTGATTACAGCAATGAATATGCCATTGCTTAATGTGAAGTGTAATTCTTGTTCTCTGCCAGGTAGTTGGCTCAATCAACAAATATTTATTGAGAAGTACGTATGTGCTAGCCATTGATCGAGGAATTAGGAATATAGAATAGAAAAGACAGGTGTCTGCTCTCAGGAGACAGGTAATTAAAAGTAAACAAATAAATTTAATAGTTGTTTACCTCAGAGACTACATTAATTCCTGACTAAAACTTTCACCTCTAGTTTCTGTATGCCAAGTGAATTTGCCAGCTGCTTTTATTTCCAGTTATCAATATGCTATGATTTTCATTAATATTTCCATCAAATCACCATCACTAAACATAAGTTGTTTGAGCACCTTGTCAGCCTCCAAAGAATATCTAGCTAAGCTAAACCAGGTTTTAGTAAACAAATATTTTATCTGTACACTGGCTATGTCCAGTCTATGTCAGTAGATTATAACGTTAGCATAGCACTAAGACAATTGTTCTAAGAACTGGATGAAAAGCGTTCAGATGAATATTGAATACTTCTTCCAAGAATCTCAGTATACCCTCAACTAGTTATTCTGTATTCAATAAGATATTTCAGGATCCTAAGCAAAGATAGAAGGTATACACGATCTTTGCGAATAATGTAGTCTACATACTTCTTAGCAATCGAAACCCACACTTAATGTTAGATTTCAAAAACCTAGTGCCTATAAACATTTTCACAAACTGGTCTTCCCTCTTTGAAATGCATCAATTGTAACTCCTGGAAAAAGTTATGGCTGTGTAAGGAGTTCAAATACCTCTGCAATGTATGACTTAATAACTCAAGATTTGATAACCTCATGTATCCTCTGCCTCAGATTACTTCCTCTGTAGAAATAAGCCAAACACAACTTTCTGCACTGTAAACATCTTAAAATCAACTGACAGTCCATGACTTATACTAGTGTTTGTTAAGGCATTCCATTCAACTTTGAATACTGCTATATTGACCCTCACATACTCATTTTGAATAAATTAACTTCCAGAATTCTGTCTAAATTCCTTACCACAAAACAAAGTAATCAGAATCCCACTGTCCTGATCAAACGGTTCACAAATGCACCCAAAAAGATTCCCATAGCATATGTGTGTCTATACACACACACACACACACAGAGAGAGAAATATGTGGATGCATGAGTGTATCCACAAAGGAAAAAAAGGTTCAAGGAACAACTTGTGCACTCTCTCCTGTAAAAATCAGAAAGGAACTGACAAATTCATGAAGAGGAATAAAATAAAGAGCGTAATGAGAAGGCCCATCTGCACATGACATAATAGCCAAACATGATTTTTTAAAATCTTTTCCCTTTAATTTAACAAAATGTTCTTAAAACCTAGAGAGTATTGAGATGGGGATGTGGGGTAGAAGGAGTATCAATTAGCACATACTGTGGAAGTCAAATAGAGTTTATCTCTATTCGTAATAGAATTTATCCTAATTTTCACCTCTATTATTTCCAAAATCCTAATCAATTTTGATAAATGAAGAAGGAAATAAAAAGATGTACAAATTTAGAATATATCCTTCCTTCTTCTGGCTCATGTCAGATATATTTGTAAAATATTTGTATGTAAAAACAAACTACATTTCATGCAAATTATACTTTGCATTAAATATTTACCTGAATAAAGATTATTTTTCCTGGAGCATAGAAAGATGGTAAAGGTTTAGTATAAAAGGACATTGGCTCAGAGCAACATACCAGATGAACATAAAAGGTTAATTTTAATAATCAAATTCATAATTCATCTAATCTAGGAAATGCCAAGAATAGTTTAAAGAGATATTCCATTTAACATGAACTAATGCACCGTCAGTAACAGTGAGGATGACTAAATGATTCTGATATACAATATGCTTGTGTTTAATGACATCAATAGACCTGTAGGAAATTCACAATAGATTATTTGCCCAGTTACTGTAATGCTTATAAAACCATTACTAGGCTACAAATCTCATTCTACTTTTAGAACTGACCATGATCCAAGAAAAGAAAAAGAAATAGCATAAAACATATTATTCTTTTCTTAGACAGGTACATTTCAGTGCAAATACAATTTTAAGAATGTTATGCTTTGTTTCTGGCACAGAAAAACATCTCTAAGCATTATTCATATTATTTCTCTCCCCTAAAGTTAACATACTTTAATGCCATATGGGCACAAATTTACTTCTGTTCATTTAAACTTGTAATTAAACTTTATAACATAGAAAACTGCTAAAGTAAAATAATCTCTTTCCACTGAAAGGCATTTTTTTTTTTTCTAAAATAACATGGGTGATGTGCCAAATGGCTGGGGTGGTAGCTCATTATACCTTCAGAGAGAATCCAAGTTTGAGGCTTATCTTGGGTTCTCACACGTAGCAGCAAAACCTTGGAGTATTATCAAGGGTTACAAAGGGCAGATCAAATAAATGTCTGTATTCAGTGAATCCATTCAGAGAAGCACTAGTTGTTCAGTAATCTAATAAGCAATGCACTAGTAATCTATTGATGAATGCATCTTATTGTAATTTTATTAAATAACAGAACCCATATATCTAAAATATTCAAACCATTTCACAAGAAGCCCTTGTGCTGCCCAGAAAATGTTTCTTTTTTTAAGTTTTTTTAGAGCAGTTTTAGGTTCACAGCAAAATCGAGAGGAAGGTACAGAGATTTCCCATGTACACCCTGACCCCACACATGAACAGCCTCCCTCATTATCAACAGCCTCCTCCAGAGTGATACATTGACTGCAATTGATGATAAGCCTACATTGAGACATCATAATCACCCAAAGCCCATAGTTACCTTAGGGTTCAATCTTGGTGCTGTACTTTCTATGAGTTTGGACAAATATATAATGACATGTATCCATGATTACAGTACCATACATAGTATTTTTACTCCTTAAAAATCCTCTGTGTTCTGCCTATTCATCCCTCTTTGCCTCCAACCCCTGATTTTACTCTCACTACAGCTTTGCCTTTTCCAAAATACCATATATTTGGAACCATACAGTAGGTAGCCTGTTCAATTTGGCTTTTTCCACTTAGAAATATATGGTTAAGATTCCTCCATGTCTTTTCATGGCTTAGCTTGACAGCTCATTTCTTTTTAGCACTGAATAATATTCCATTGTCTGGATGGACTACAATTTATTTATCCATTCGCCTATTGAAGACCATCTTGGATGCTTCCAAGTTTTGGCAATTATGAATAAATCTACTATAAACATCCATGTGCAGGTTTTCATGTGGACGTAAGTTTCAACTTCTTTGGTTAAATACCAAAAAGTGCGATTGCTAGATTGTATGGTGAGAGTATGTTTACTTTTGTAAGAGCCAAACTATCTTCCAATGTGGCTGAAACATTTTGCATTCTTACCAGCAATAAATGAGAGTTCCTATTGCTCCACATCCTGGCCAGCATTTGGTGTTGTCAGTGTTTTGGATTTTGGCCATTCTAATAGATATGTAGTGGTATCTCATTGTTGTTTTAATTTGCATTTCCCTGATGACATATGATATGGAACATCTTTTCATATGTTTATTTTCCATCTGCATAGCTTCTTTAGTGAGGTGTCTGTTGACATCTTTGGCTCATTTATAAAATGGATTGTTATTGTTGAGTAGTTTTAAGAGATCTTTGTTATTTTCAATAACAGTTCTTTATCAGATGTATCTATTGCAATTTTTTTCTCTCAGTTTGTGACTTGTATTCTCATTCTCTTAACATTGTTTTTTGTAAAAGTTTCAAATTTTAATAAGGTCCAGCTTGTTTATTCTTTCTTTCACGGACTATACCTTTGGTGTTGCATCTAAAAAGTCATTAACATACCCAAGGTAGTAGAGTTTTCTCCTCTTTATCTTCTAGAAGTTTTGTAGTTTTGCATTTTGCACTTAGGTCTATGATCCATTTTGAGTTAATTTCTGCAAAAGGCATAAGGTCTGTGACTAAATTCGGTTTTTTGCATGTGAACATCCATTTGTTCCAGCAAATTGATTTAAAAGAGTATCCCTGCTCCACTGTATTGCCATTGATCCTCTATCAAAAATCAGTTGACCATTTTTATGTGGGTCTATCTCTGGGCTTTCTATTCTATCCCATTGTTCTATCTGTCTATTACTTAGCCAATACCACATCATCTTCATTACTGTATATTTATAGTAAGTCTTTAAGTTGAGTATTATCAGTCCTCCAACTTGGTTTTTCTTCAATATTGTGTTGGCTATTCTGGGTCTTTTGCCTCCTCATATACACTTTAGAATCAGTTTATTAATATCCACAAAATAACTTGCTGGGATTTTTATTGGAATTGCAATGAACCTATAGATTAAGTTGGGAAGAACTGACATCATGACAATATTTAAGCTTCCTATCCATGAACATGGTATATCTATTTATTTAGTTCTTTAGTTTCTTTCATGAGAGTTTTGTAGTTTTCCTCAAGTAGCTCGTGTACAAATTTGGTTTCTGATAATTTGTGGAAATTTTCAGTCATTATTGCTTCAAATATTTTCAGTATTCCTTTCTCTCTCTTCCGTCTGTTTCATTATGCATATTTACATCATTTGTAGTTGCCCCATGGTCCTTAGAAATGCTGTTCTTTTATTTTTCAGAATTTGTTCTTTTTGCTTTTTAGTTTTGGGGGTTTCAATTGATATATCCACAAGCTCAGAGATTCTTTCCTCAGTCATGTCCAGTCCACTAATACACTGATAAAAGGCATTCATTTTTACACAGTGCTTTTGATTTCTAACTTTTTTTTGTTCTTTCTTAGAATTTCCATCTTTTTGCTTACATTGCCCATCTGTTCTTGCATAATGTCCATTTATCCATTAGAGCCCACAACATATTAATCATGGTTGTTTAAAATTCTCAGTCTGGTAATTCTAACATCCCTGCCACATCTCGGTCTGATGCTTGCTATGTCTCATCAAATTGTTTTTAGTGCCTTTAGTATAACTTGCAACTTTCTGATAACCAAACATGATGTACATGGTAAAAGGAATTGCTATAAATAGGCCTTGAGTAACATGATGGCAAAGTGTGCTGGGAGGGGAATGGTTCTCTGATTAGGTCTCAGTTTTTTACTGTACTTATACCTCTAAACTATGAGCTTCACAGGTGTTTCCCAGTTTTTTCTTCCCCTCTTAGGTGGGAGAGAATGGCTAGGGTGGGCTGGAGTTGAGTATTTCCCTTCTTCTAGATAAAAGGATAGAGTTGATTGAAGTTGACTATTTCCCTTCCCCCAGATTAGTTAGGCTCTGATAATACCCCAACAAGTTAGGCTTGGTTAACTAATTTACCCTGAGGGTAGACCTTCTTAAAAAAAACAGAAAGCTCTGGCATAATTCAAAAATGGCTCCTTTTCTCCTCCCCCTCCTAAACACACAAGGAAGATTTTTCTGATATTTACTATGAGAACCTGGTTGAGCTTTTGGAGGTAAAACACACAAAAGTAGAGGGAGAAGCCATATCTAGGTCCCTCTGGAGTTTTTAACTCTTACACTTGTCTGCACTGAGTCTCTCCTAAAGTCATCGATTATAGTTCAGGTTTTTTTTTTTATGCCAGCACTCGTTCCCTTGGTGATGTCTGCGCATTATTTTCTGCTCCAGTAAGTTTGATTCTTTGTATTCACCTGTTGCACCCTCCAACTTTGGGGTTAGCAATTTGCCCTGTGACCTCACTTCTCTTACGAATCTAAAAAGCCTTGTTGCTTTAAAAGTTTCTTCTGCTTTTTATTTATTTTTAGGACAGAATAGTAACTTCCAAACTTCTCAAATGCTAGACTAGAAGTCTCTTTCTTTTTTTTTAAAAAAAAAGTCAACTCTTTTAAAATAATAATATATCATTTTGTAACTAAAAGAAATAACTTACAAGATCCTGATTTATAAGAAATCACAAAACTAACATATTTTCAAAGAAGCAAGCAGCAGGATCGAGTCCAGCATCTCAGACATCCTAAACATACACTCATAAAGCGGGTAGATAAGAAGATAAGGCATCCCCAATTATAGTAGGAAGGACAAAGAAAGATTTCTAAGGATTCAGGCAGCAATATGGAAAAAAACAGGAGACATAAAGCAACATTCTCCTTAGTATCTTTACAATCAATAGTGCTAAATTTTTACTCCATATTTGGAGAGTTTGTATAATATTATTACAGCATCTAAATTGTTCAAAATTAATAACCATATGCAAATTCCAGCTACTGGCACCATGACAAGCCAAAATATAAACAACTTCAAAAGCAGAAAATAAATACTTCCTTTTTGAAACCAAAATACAGTCACGTATTCAATTACATTAGTCAATTTGATAGAGTATCAACAAAAAACCTATAGCTAACATTATATTTAATGGCAAAAGACTAAATGTTTTATTCTTAAAATTGGAAACAAAAAAGATTTGTACTTTTACCACACTTATTCAACATAGTGGTAGAAGTTCTAGCCAGTAAAATAAGATAACAAAAGGAAATCAAAAACATACAAATCAGAAACATAGAATTAAAACTGTACTTATTTGCAGATGATCAGGTTGTGTACATAGGATATCCCAAAGAATCTACCAAGGAAAAAAATAAAATCCTGAAACAAATTGAGTACAGCAAGAAATGTAGGATACAAGATAAACTTATTATAAGAAACATCAATTCTATTTCCATATACTAGCAATAAAACACACTGAATTTTAAAATATAATATTTACAATCAATTAAAAAATGAAATACTTAGACACAAAATTAATGAAATGTATAAAGACTTGTATAACAAGAACTACAAAATCCTGGTGAAAAAAAATAAAAGACATAAAGAAATGTAAAGACATACCGTGTTCATGGATACAAAGCTCTAACAAAATAAACATGTCAATTCTCTGTAAATGGGTAAGTTAATGAAGCTCCTATTGAAATCTCAGCAAGATTTTTGGTAGATATAGATGATTATTTTAAAAATTTATATGGAAAGAAAAAGGAACTAGAATAAAGCAATTATGAAAAAGTAAAACAAAGTGAGAGAAATTAGTCAATCCAATTTCAAGACTTGTAACTACAGCAATCAAAACTATGTGGTACTGGTAGAATGACAGACATATAGATCAATAGAATATAATTAAAAATTCAGAAGCAGACACACATACATATGCCCAACTAATTTCTGACAAAGCTATAAGAGCAATTCAATGAAGGAAAGATGGCCTTTTCAATTCACAGTGCTGGAGCAACTGGACAGCCATAAACAAAAAAAATGAACCTCAGCCTAAGTCTCTCACCATATGCAAAAATTAACTCAAAACAAATTTAAATGTGAAGTAAACTATAAAACTTCTAGAAAAATGTAAAAGAAAATCTTTAGGATCTAGGAGTAGGCAGGTTTCACCAAAATCATGATCCATTAAAAACAACTGATACATTAGACTGCATTAGAATTAAAAACTTTTGGGAGGCTGAGGCAGGCGGATCACAAGGTCAGGAGATCAAGACCATCTTGGCTAACATGGTGAAACCCCATCTCTACTAAAAAATACACAAAATTAGCCAGGCATTGTGGCAGGCGCCTGAAGTCCCAGCTACTCGGGAGGCTGAGGCAGGAGAATAGCGTGAACCTGGGAGGTAGAGCTTGTAGTGAGCCGAGACTGTGCCACTGCACTCCAGCCTGGGCGACAAAGTGAGACTCCATCTCAAAAAAAAAAAAAAATTTTTTTTTGCTGTGTGAAAAACCTGTTAAGAGGAGAAAAGGACAAGTTATAGGCTGGGAGAATACACAATCAATTCTTATTATTCCTGGTAGTTATGGTCTATCAATTCCCCATGAATACTGAATTAGCAAATACTGAAATATATAGGTTCCTACAAGCCTCTAGTAACATTTTCATCAGCAAATCAATATATTACTTGTTTTATTTGTGTTTCTATTTAAAGTTACCTTATTTAATATATATTATTGATTCTTACACATTGAACTCAGCCAAAACAAAGCTTATCTAATAAACATATTTTCTTCTTGCCCTGGAAACAAGGCAAGGTCTATCACCACCTTCTTGTACTTAGGAATACTACCCAGCACCTCAACACTACACTTAGGAGCCATTTTATCAGCAAAAAAAAAAAAAAAAAAAAAAAAAAAAGAGAGAGGACACAAAAATGCAAAACAAAAAAAAAAAAGTGGCACAAAACAATCTGCAAAAGAGACATGTTCACAGTATGAAAAATTGAAAAAAATAGGCAGAGTATCATCTTGTTTGACCTCAATTGGGAAGGTACAATTTGGAAGACTCAAATTTTTTGCCACTCCGTGTTTTTTTTGTTGTTGTTGTTGTTTTTGAAGACAGTCTCCCTCCATCGCCCAGGCTGGAGTGCAGTGGCATGATCTCAGCTTACTGCAACCTTTGCCTTTTGGGTTCAAGCAATTCTCTTGCCTCAGCCTCCTGAGTAGCTGGGACTACAGGCACCTGCCACCAGGCCCAACTAATTTTCTTTTTGTATTTTAGTAGAGATAGGGTTTCACCATATTGCCCAGGGTGGTCTTGAACTCCTGAACTCAGGCAATCCAGCCACCTCGGCCTCCCAAAGTGCTGGGATTACAGGTGTGCACCACCACACCTGGCCCACTCTGTGCATATCTACAAATGACTGCAAAAGCACTACAAGTATTGATTTTTGGCATTTCAAATAAATTTTAGCAAGCACGCAAATTTGCAAAATAATGAGCATCCACTGTATTTGCAAACCACCTATCTGAAAAAGAACTAGTATCTATAATACATAAAGAACTCTTAAATTTAACAGTAAAAACCCAAACAATTCCATTAGAAAACAGCCAAAAGACATTGAGAGAGCTCACTGAATAGGATACACAGGTGTTGAGTAAGCACATGAAAAGATGTCTCCATCATTAGCCATTAGTGAAATTCAAATTCAAACCATAATGAAATATCACTACACATTCGTCAAAATGACTGAAAAAAACATAGTGACAACATCAAATGATGCTGAGGATGTAGCCAAGCTGGATAACCCATACACTGCTGGTGGGAATGTAAAATGGTACAGACACTCTGGAAAACACTTTGGCAGTTTCTTAAAAAACTAAAACATGCAACTACAATACAACTAGCAATTATACTCCTGAGCATTTATTCCAGATAAATATACTCTTAGCCTGACAAAATAACCTGTACATAAACATTTATAACAGCTTTATTATAATAACCCCAAACTGCAAACAACTCAGATGTCCACCAAGCTGGTGAATGTTAGAACAAACTTTGATACATCCCTATCATCTAATCATGCTCAGCAATATAAAAGAACAAATACTGGAACATGAAACATCCTGGATGAATCTTATGCTGAGTAAAAACAGCCAATCCCAAATGGTTACACACTCACTCCATAACTCCATTTATATAACACTACTAAAATAATAAAATTATAGAATTAGAGAAAAGATAATGGTTGCCAGAGGTTTAGGGGAGGGTTGGGACAGGCAGAAGTGCTGTGGCTATAAAAGGACAATATAAGAGATCCTTGTGATGATGGAGATGTTCTACGTCTTGATTATATCAATTTCAACATTCTGGATATGATGTTGTACTATCAGTTTGCAAGATGCTAGCACTGGGGAAACAGGATAAAGATCCACAAGCAATCTCTACATTATTTCTTACAACTGCACTTGTATGACTATCTCAAATTAGAAAGCTAAATGAAAACAGTGAAATGCAGTCAGATTTTAAACTATATTTATCAGTAAATCATATTTTTTCTTATAGTGGAAATTTCTAAGTCATGGTACTAATATTCTTTATTTTAATTCATACAAATCTAATGTGAGCTAATAGAGGAGTATACATTTTTAAAGGCTACTAGGATACATTACAATGAAATAAAATATGAAATTGCTCATAAAATTAAAAGTTTTAAAGCTTTCGGAGCAACAGCAATAACGAAGTATTTTATCACTGTTTCTTCCTCAACAGAAAATGAAAGTGTTAGCTATTTCAAAATTACAACTAAAATCAAAGATCTTTTGGTTTTGAGTGCTAGTATAGCATTAATTTAGTTCTAAATCTGATGTCACAAATCTGATTCAATTATAGAAACATTTATTGTTCTATTTTCTTGCCACTGATTGCATCTCTAACAAATCATATGACAAATGCATACCCCATAAGACAAAGAGTCAGAAATTATTCCCAAATCTATTTCTCCTTCCAGAAAACGAAATCAAGTAGAAAAGAGTAAAGTGATCTATAGATTTTAGATTGGGACCACTATCTTTATTTGTAACATATCACAAGGAACCATACATGTCATTAAGAAAAAAATTAACCCATCTCTTATTTCTAAATAGTATGACAATAATATATGCTAGCTGGTAAAGATTAAAAGTATAAGAGGGAAAGAAAAGCAATAGTTGCAATAAAAAATTTAACATTTGTGCCACAGAGAAATAATAAACTTACACAATATCTTAGACTGATCCAGTTTAACCAACTCTCAAGAACTGTGAAAGGTCTGAGAATTTACTCTACTAGAAACCTAAGAAGTTAACATACTATTGTTCAAAGATGTTAGCAAAAGACACAAAACTGGGTGCGGTGGCTCACATCTGTAATCCTAGCACTTTGGGAGGCCAAGGCGGGCAGATCACTTGAGGTCAGGAGTTCGAGACCAGCCTTGCCAGCATGGTGAAACCCCATCTCTATTAAAAATACAAAAAAATTAGCTGTGCATGGTGGCACATGCCTATATTCCCAGCTACCTGGGAGGCTGAGGCAAGAGAATGGCTTGAACCTGGGAGGCGGAGGTTGTAGTAAGCTGAGATTGTGCCACTGCACTCCAGCCTGAGTGACAAAGCAAGACTCTGTCTCAAAAAAAAAAAAAAAAAGACACAAGACTCACATGTCTAAAACAAAGGACTTTATTAATAATATCACAGCAAGCAACATGAGCATATCTGTGTCAGTACCCCCCTGCAACTGTGTTGTTCCATGGGAGCAACACAATGGCCTAAATGATACCTGCACATGCAGAGTATTACATTACATTACAGAGAAAATGTAGATATAAGTATTAAATAAGTAAACAAATTATTACAAAATACAGATCTGTACTTTCTTTTTTAAAATAAAATACACAAAGACATTAAATATAAGCCTACATTCACACAACACCAAAGATCCAGTACTTATGTTCACTGTAAGCTAAGTCTGGCCAGAATCTACAAAGAGAGAAGCATTTCTCTACCACCTTTTATTCACTGGGGAGGCTGTAATTGCTATAAAGAACCTAACTTTAGAAGTCTAACACATTAGTTGAAGAAATGGTAGAAGTATATGAGAAACAGGAATAAAAAGGATTAACATGTTTAAGAATGTTATTAAAAAGACAGGCAATATAGCTCCACACAAGCTCACACTTTGCCAAAAGAAGTTCTTTGATGCTTCTCACATGTTAATATGCATATCAATCATCTGGAGATAGTATTAAATGTAGATTCTCATTCAGTAGGTCTGTGGTGAGGCCTGAGAGTGAACATTTCTAATAAGTTGCCAGGTATTGTGCATACTGCTTTGAGTATATACACTTTGAGTAGCAAGTGTTAGAAGACTTTCGATGAGTGTCAAATCAGGCAGACTATGCAAAGTCTGTGATGAATTATATTCTAAATTTGTTCAGCAGATGAGATTTTAAAATTTTCTATCACAGAAAAAAAAGTTACTCATATATACTATCTTCAATTTGTGGCTAATAATAATTAGAAATTTTACTTTCAAGTAACAACTCTAAATAAATCCATACGATTATATGTTCTATATAATATATCTGTATGCTTTTCTTCACACAAAAATATTTGGAGCATATTGGTCCTCAAGACTATCTTAATGTAGTTCTTAATTATCTTCTGGTATATGATCTATGTATAAAGGTAGTACTGATTCCAACTTCAATTAACCAATTTAGCTCACAATGTGCTCTTCCTGCTGCTAGTATTAAGAATAAACCTAAATATATAATTCATTTCTTGGCACTTTTTAAAAGGTCTTTTGATAACATTTTAGCAATATGTAGGTTTCTGTACAAGTTCAAAGAATAAACTCATTTTAACAGGGCTGTGAAAACTTACATTATGAGAATAAACTAATTTGATTTCTGGAAAGAAATGTCAGGATCATGTATTATGTCTCAAAATTAGGTTAGTTTTTATAAATCCTTAATCACAAGAAATATGACTTTCAGAGAATAATGGCAAATGCATCTGCTCACATTCAAACACTTTGGCCTCAAATTATTTACAATAGTAATAAAGGATATTATTCAGAAACAAGCATTTACATACAAAAAAGGTAATATTTACAAGTATAGTCCAGAACAGTCAGTCATTCATTGTAAAAAGAACAGCCCCCACCTGCTTTCTCCAAAGACTGGACCAATATATCAATAATTTACCCTCATCAGCATTATTTCTTTGTGTGAATTTGCTACTCAAAGTTCCCCAGTATAAGAAGTCTGCATAAACAAACACTGAGAACTCATCAAATATAAAAATCTCACCCTGATACCAACCCTCTAAAATAAAAATTAAGGATGAATCTTACCTTACATAGAATTAATATTAAAATTTCCAAATAATACATTATTTTTTCTCATATTAAAACCACAGCCATTTTAAAGGAAGGGCTAAAATTTACAATAACATTAGCATAATTTCTCCAGTGTGATCTTTGCAACTGCTTTTTAGAATTCACCACTAAAGCCATTTGGGCCTAGAGCTTTGAGAAAGAAATCTGAAGCATTTTTAAAATAAATATATAACGTTATTTGGGTTATCTATAGCATTATTTGAGTGAGATTTTGTTGTGTGTGTTTTTCAAGTTGTTTGTCCATTATATCCAAGTTGTTGAATTTATTAGTATAAAGTTATTCATAAAATTCTCTACTATTGTTTGATATCTATGAGATATGTAGTGATACCCTCTCTCGTATCTAAAAATTGTCAATTTGCATCTTTGGTCTTTTTTTTTTTTTTAACCCAATTAGTCTGGCTAGCGGCTTTATCAATTTTACTGATAACACTGAAGAACTGGCTTTTGAAGATTTTATTAATATTTCTTTATTGCATTGCTCTCTTCTATTTAATGGAATTCTGCTGTTACCTTCATCATTTCTTTCTTCAGCTTACTTTGGATTTACTTTGCTCTTCTTTATGTAATTTCTTAAGGTGGAAGGTTAGGTCACCAATCTTAAACCTTTCTACTTTTTTAATAAAAAACTTTAGTGCTACAAATTCTCCTGCAAGCATTGTTTTAGTTGCATACCATAAGTTTTGATATATTGCGTCTTCATTTTCAGTAAATTTTAAGTATTTTCTAATTTTCTTTGCAATTTCCTCTTCGAATGATGGATAATTTAGAATCATTTTGCTTAGCTTTAAACAATAAAATTGGAGACTTTCCAGGTAGCTCTCTAACCGAGAAAGCATATTGTATATAGTCAGAAAACATACATTTTATGACTTTAATCCTTTTGGGGCTTGTATTACGGCCCAGAATATGGTCTCATTGTAAAAGTGGAGAACTTTTCTTTCTGAATCTTCAGCTCAAACTTTTCTTTCCTTAGCTTCAAGCAGTTGATGCTTTCCCAAGATCTTCAGGAAAATAATAATAATTCCTTTTCATCATTTATAGTGTTATCTTGAAGGGATCTCTAAACTGTCAAGTTCTCTGGAGCCTTCTCATTTACAGTCTATATAAATCTAAGAATACATTTTACCTTAACCTCAATCTCACTTTCTTTGAATTGTAAGGTTTTTTCCTGTTATATTATTATACTAAATATAGAACCACCAAAAAGTATAATTATTATTATTTTAATGGTAGGTTTTTCTATTTTACATAAAAACAAAAGGAAAATTAAAACAACTAAAGGCACAAAAGGAAAATTAAAACAACTAAAAAAGTTCATAATGGGTTGAGTGTAGAGTGTGTCAGAGGAAAATACGCTACACAGGTCAGCTGAGGCCTGTAAGCCATATCAAGGAACCTAAGTCACTGAGAAATATAAGGTAACAAAATCTGTCATTTTGGAACCTCATTTTGGTTTCAGAGAACAACTGGCAAAAAGCACAACTTGAGCAAGGGAGATGAGTCAGGAGAACTCCAATAGAGCACTTCACTCATCTCCATGTGACTAAATCTAAAGACATCATTACTCCTTCCTTTGTTAGATATCCTTCACATGGCTTTAAAGACTCAGTAGTCTCATGGTTCTTCTCTTGTCTCAATGAACTGTGCTTTTTGGTCCCCATTGCTGATTTCTCATCTCCTCTTCTTAATGATGAAGTGCTCCTCGGCCTAGTGCTTGGATTTTTTCTCTATATATTCTCATTCCTTTATTCAAGTCATCCTCACCAATGGCTTTAATTTTTTCCAAAGCACTATTACCATCTAATCACAATGTCTTTTACTTATTTATTTTGTTCATTATCTGTCTTCCCTTTCCCACAAGAATGTAATCTCTGTGAGGGAAGGGATGTTTGTATGTTTTGTTACTTATGTGCTCTCGGTACCTAGAATACTGCCTGATAGAGAGTAGACAGCCAAGAAATACATGTTAATAACTAAATGAATGAATGAGCAAAGGAAAGAAGCCTGGACTAAAGTGGACGCAACATGGGCACAAAAGATTAAAGGAATAACCAATATAATGTAGAAAGACTGGCTAGCTCTACAGATTGAGGGAAAGAAGGAACTCAAGCTTAACTTCCTGGTAGCTGGTGTGGGTGGAGTAGAAAAACGATAAATTCGGTTTTGCACATGTAGAATGTGAGGCACTGAATAAAATACTCAAGTGAAGACGTCTAGTCCAGAGCAGAAAGAGACAGGATGTAGATACAGATTTAGAGTCAAGTAGCACAGACATGGTATTAGAAATTATGAGAGTGAATTCATTTACCAAAGGAAATTGGACAGAGTGATTTAAAAAAAAAAAAAAAAGACCTAGAAATGAGCCCCGACAAATTAAAGGGTAGACAAAAAAAAAAAAAAAAAAAAAAGACGAGGCAAAGGACACGGAAAATGAGCGTTCAGATAGGTAAAGGGAAAACCAGAGACTAGTGTGACATGACAGCATAGTTAAGATAACATATTGAGAAGAAAAAAGTCACAATGTTAAATATTGCTAAGTGGGAAAAATAATCTTAAAAACATTAAGATGGGGCCAGGCGCAGTGGCTCACGCCTGTAATCCCAACACTTTGGGAGGCCAAGGCGGGCAGATCACAAGGTCAGGAGATCAAGACCATCCTGGCTAACACGGTGAAACCCCGTCTCTACTAAACATACAAAAAATTAGCCAGGCGTGGTGGTGGGTGCCTGTAGTCCCAGCTACTTGGGAGGCTGAGGCAGGAGAATGGCGTGAACCCGGGAGGCGGGGCTTGCAGTGAGCAGAAATCGCGCCACTGCACTCCAGCCTGGAGGACAGAGCGAGACTCCATCTCAAAACAAACAAACAAAACATTAAGATGGAAGGATAAAATTAGCGATTGTGACAGGAGCATTTTGTGTTTCTTCTCTTACTCTTGCACCTCTGCCTCTGCCATGAAAACATGCCCAGGCTAAGTTGCTGGAGGATGAGACAACTGGAACAGAGCTGAGTTGTCCGCACTGTGCTGACCAAAGCCATGCTAAATCAGCGGAACCTCAGTCAACTGCCAGGTACATCAGGGAGCGACTCAAGAGCAGAACTGTCCAGCCAAAGCCAGTCTAACCTGCTAACTCACGGGCTTGTAAGCAAAATAAATGCTTATTGCTTTTTTTTGTTTTTAATGAAAAGACTGTTATCAAGCAGAATTCTGGCTCTTGTGCTAGGAGCCAATACTATAACAATGGGTTTTTGAGAAAAGAAAAGCTTTGTATTGCAAATCTCCTCACAAGGAGACAGGAGCATCAAGCGCAAATCTGTCTCCTTGTGCCAGCTTTAAGGTAGTATTTGTATTAGAAAAGGGCTACGGGGTAGATGTTGGCATTAGCAGTGATTGGTAGAAAGAAACGGGAGGTCTGGAAAGTCTTCAGGCATGTGCAGTTATCTCCTCATGACTCCTCATAGGTCCCATGTGCAAATTCTGGGAGAGTTAGTATGAAACACGTGATGAAAATTCAGTCTGTGACACAAGCAAACTCGTTTTGCAGAAAGTCTAGTTGGTCATATTGGTTCCAACTGATTTCAACCAGTTTTTAAATCTCATGAACAGAGACAGTTTCAGTAAGTTGTTTTTTTTTTTTTTTTTTTTTCTGAGACAGAGTCTTGCTCTGTCACCCAGGCTGGAATGCAGTGGCGCAATCTCAGCTCACTGCAACCTCTGCCTCCCGGGTTCAAGCAATTTTCTGCCTCAGCCTCCTGAGTAGCTGGGATTACACGTGCCCGCCACCACGCCCAGCTAATTTTTGTAATTTTAGTAGAGACGGAGTTTCACCATCTTGGCCAGGCTGGTCTTGAACCCCTGACCTCGTGATCCACCTGCCTCAGCCTCCCAAAGTGCTGGGATTACAGGCGTGAGACATCGTGCCCGGCCAGTAAGTTGTTTCTTTATCTGCCATCCTGTAAACTCAAGAATTTCTGTTAGTTACTGGTTTCTTTAACTCTTTGGGGCATGATTTCACATGAGCATATTTAAATGCTGATGGGAAAAAGCCAATACAGAAAATACAATGAAAGATGAAGGGAGCAGATAATTTACAGAAGATGGGTCACAGCATAATAGTACATGCCAAAATAGGAAAAAAGGGAAAAGAGACACTAGGTATCCAGTTCCAAGATGCTGGAATATAAAGAAGCTAGTGTCACTCTCCCCTACAAAAAAAACAAAAACAAATACACAGCACTGAGATTATCACCAGCAGTATCCCAGAACTCAAACATGAGAATGAGACAGTTCCCAGGGTCACAGAGATGTAAGAGGTAGATAGTAAGAGAATTGGACTTCTATTTCTGTGATGCCTCTCCCCACATACTGCCCTGCACCTAGTACATGGGAAATTTCCCTCCAATTCACAGTTTCCACACTAGAAAAGGTGAGATTGAAGTGCACAACCAGATCCCCACCATCTTGGGGTCCCTGGCAAAAATCCTGCCCCTGCCTTAACCCATAAGAAGCATCATGAGTGCCAAAAGACAGACATATCCCTGAGGATAGGTAGAGACAAACAGGGGAAGTGGAACTATCATCCACAGCCCTGGATGATAGGCTTAACCAAATGAGACACCGAATCAAGAGTGGTAGTTCATCAGTATCACACTGTAGGAGGTGCATTCCACAGGTCACCTGGGCACAAACCATTAGCTAGCCTTCCAACACACTGAGATATCCTCTTTGAGGCCTCCCCCATTTGGGATGAGCAGCACTCCAATCATTTACTGGAACTGAGGTAAACATGGGCTTAAGGTACCACCTACAGCCAAAAACACGGCAGCAGCCTTGCAGTAAAGAATCTATCTCTAAGCAAATATATCAAATAAAAAACAAAAGAAGCCAAACAGAGAAGACTGGAATAACTAACTAATCCTTCAATGTGAGGACAAAGACATGCATCCACAAGAAACAACAGCAAACAGGGAACCATAACTTTCCCCAAATAGACAAATCAAGGAACTAGTGTCTGACCCTAATGAGATAGTAATGTATGAGCTTTCTGACCAAGAATTCAAAGTAGCAGTGTTAAGGCAGCTCATTGATATCCAACACAACACAAAAAAGCAATTCAGAAATTTATCACAGAAATTTAATGAGACTGAAATAATAATAATAAAATCAAATGAAAATCTTGGAACGGAGAAATACATTTGCTTAACTGAAAAACTCATTAGGGGCTATCAACAGCAAAATGGAACAATGAAAGGAAAGAATCAGAGAACTCAAAGACAGGCTATTTGAAAATACACAGTCACAGGAGGGAAGAAAAATGAAAAGGCATGAAGACCACCTACGAGATACAGAAAATTAACTCAAAAGACCAAATCTAAGGATTATTGGTGTTCAAGAGGGAGCTGGGCAAGAGCAAGGAGTAGAAAGTTTACTCAAAGAAATAGTAACAGAAAACTTTCCAAAACATGAGAAAGACATAAATATCCAGGTACATGAAGGCCAGAGAGTACCAAACAGACTTGACCGAAATAGGAGTACCCCAAGGCATATAATAATCTAACTGTCAAAAGTCGAGGACAAGGAAAGGATCCTAAAAGCAGCAACAGAAAAGAAGTAAATAACATGTAAAAGAGCTCCAAGTCTGGCAACAGACTTCTCAACAGAAACCATATAGGCCAGAAGGGAGTGAGATGACATTTTCAAACTGATGAAAGAAAAACAACTACCATCTAAGCATACTGTACCCAGCAAAGCTATCCTTCAAATAGGAAGGAACAATAAAGTCTTTCGTAGACAAACAAAAGCTGAAAGAATTCACCACCACCAGACTCATCTTACAAGAAACACAAGAGAGAGTTCTTCAATTTGAAAGAAAAAAAAAACAACTAATGTGCAAAAAGAAAACATTTGAAGGTATAAAATCGACAGTTAAAATCAAATACATGGACAAACCCAGAATACTCTAATACAGTAATTGTGGTGTACAATCTACTCATAATTCTAGTATGAAGCCCAAAAGTCAAATCTATCAAAAACAGTAATAGCTACAGCAAACTATTGAGAAAGGTTAAATAAAAATATGTAAATTGAGGCAATTAAAAGTCAAAATTGGGGGTTATGGAGTTAAAATGAAGAATTGTTTATTTATTTTCCTTGTGTATTTCTATTATTTTCTTTGTGATCTAAATAATTTGCTATAAGATTTTTTTTGTAAACCTCATGATAACCACAATGTAAAGACCAATAATATTCACTAAAATAAAAAGCAACAAATTAAAACACACTACCAGGGAAAATCACTTAATCACAATGAAAGACACTAAGTAAAGAAAAAAGCAAGAGAGGATTTGCAAAACAACCAGCAAACAAGCAACAAAATGGCAGTAGTAAGTGAATAATAACAGCACTGAATGTAACGAACACAATTCTCTAATTAAAAAGCACCCAGTTGCTCAATGGGTAAGAAACAAGACCCAATTATATACTGTCTACAACAAACCCATGTCACCTATAAAGACACACAGACTGAAAGTGAAGGGTGGAAAAAGATATTCCATGCAACTGTAAAGCAAAAAAGAGCAGAAGTAGTTGTACTTACATCAGATAAAATAGACTACAAATCAATGACTGTTAAAAGAGATAAACAAAGTCACTATGTAATGTAAAAGGGTCAATTCAGCAAAAGGAGATACACACACATACACACACACCTGGGGGTATAGTGTTAAGAAAGTATCTCATTTTGTGGATTGGTATCATTGGCTTCCTTAACTAAAGTATTATGAAAGTGGCTAACTTAGGAGCTGTATCTTTGGGTTTGAATACTGTAGAATAGAGAAACATGTTTGGGTTAATTTAGGAACCACAATTTACCAATGACAGTCACAAATGGATATAAATAATGTAAACATGCAGTAAACTCATCGTGATGGGTGTTTAGTCTCATAGACTTCTTAAAGGCTATCATAAAGTTTTTTTGTCTTGTCCCTCCTTTGTATACTAAGTGGAATAGACCAGATGAAGCAGCTAATATGTTACATGGTGTAAGCCAGCCATGCTGGATTGGCTTTATAATACCCAAAATGTTTACAACAAGCCCTTTATGCAGATGATGAGAAATGCAATTAAGGGAGCTCTTTTTATATGCCCTCCCTCCTTAAAATAACCTTACTATTACAAAATCAAGAAATGGTTCTAGAAGCCATATCAGATATGCTGTCTCAGCTTCTCCTTATGGGTTTTACAGATGCTAAGAAAATTAAAATAATTCACAAGTCAGGTAGGGATTGGGGGTTGGGAGGCAAGAAGATGGCAAAAGGACTTGTCTAAGTAGGGTTGAAGTTTTTAAGTGGTTACTAAGAAATGAGAGGGATCAAGGACTTGATGGGGTGAACATAAAATTTTAATGCAGCATTATTGAACGGTAGAAGACCAATCAGAGTTTCTGCCAGTTCCCTAGCACTGAAGGGCCTTAAACAAACCTAATTATTTACCCCACTTTGGAAGAATATGAGAAGCCAGAGGGCAAGATCATATTGAAGAGTATGTCCTCACTTCACTGGAGGTAATGATAGGACAGATGAACCAGGACAAAGATTGAATGGAATGGCCGGAGTCAATTTGTCTAATCTTGGCTGGCTACTGAAAGCAATATGCATGTGTAAGGTGCCAGAAAGACTTTACTGTTCCTTCATATTTGAAGGATAGCTTGGCTGGATACAGTATGCTTAGATAGTAGTTGTTTGTCTTTCATCAGTTTGAAAGAAAGGTAGGAAGAAAATTTCTGAGATTCCTTAATACAGGAGCCCAATGTGCTGTGTTTCCAAACATTTTTATAAAACTCAGTTTGGAAAGATATGGGAATGTTATGGGTGATGGAATTAAGATAAAAGTTTGGATAAGAATTAGAATGTATGAACAGATGTTATGTGAAGTATCCTTTACCTGAATTTATTACTGGAATGGATATGGTATCTGATGGGGAATGCTTCCCATACCTAGTACTGTAAAACAAGAAACACATAAGTTTGCCCTTCAGCCAGTAGTAACCAGATATGCTAAAAGAGTATATGCTAAATAGACTCCAGCCTATAAAGGTTGTTACTCTGAAACAACAGAGAATACCTGATGGATAAAAAGAGACTGTAGGTTAAATCAGTGACATATTAGAAGCTGTAGTGCTGATATGACAAATTCTCTGTACAGTAGTCCCACTATTACAGGACTAGTCCTGTGTAGCCTGGAAGTGGATGACTCATGGTGATATGGTTTGGCTGTGTCCCCAACCAAATCTCAACTTGAACTGTATGTCCCAGAATTCCCACATGCTGTGGGAGGGACCCAGGGGGAGGTAACTGAATCATGGAGGCCGTTCTTTTCCATGCTATTCTTGTGATAGTGAATAAGTCTCACGAGATCTGATGGGTTTATCAGAGGTTTCCGCTTTTGCTTCTTCCTCATTGTTCTCTTGCTGCCACCATGTAAAAAATGCCTTCCTCCTACCACCATGATTCTGAGGCCTGCCCAGCCATATGAAACTGTAAGTCCAATTAAACATATTTTCATTCCCAGTCTCGGGTATGTCTTTATCAGTGGTGTAAAAATGAACCAATATAGATGGAAACTAACAGTAAATGACTGAAGTCTCAATAAAGTGGTGCTGCCTATAGCAGCAGCAGTCCCCTGATGAGACATCAGCTGTACAAAGACTATAACAATCTAAAGAAGACCAATACTCAGTGACTGATCTTACAAATGCCTTTTTCTTGATATTTATCAGAAAAGTCAGCCACTATTTCCCTTCATCTGGGAAGGATCACAACTTACATTTGCTGTGTTGCCAAAGGATTATCTGAATTCACTAGCTTACTATCATAATTTGGTTGGGAGAGATCTGGACTTGGTGTAGGTCTCCACTATGATAATATACTGTGTTATTATACTACCAAAAACTGAAGAGCAAGCCAAGACTGATTTAAAAACAATGGTAACATACTTTGGGCAGTATGGCCATTTTCATGATATTGATTCTTTCTATCCATGAGCATGAAATGTTTTTCCATCTGTTTGTGTCCTCTCTCATTTCCTTGAGCAGCGGTTTGTAGTTCTCCTTGAAGAGGTCCTTCACATCCCTTGTAAGTTGTATTCCTAGGTATTTTATTCTCTTTGTAGCAACTGTGAATGGGAGTAGTATATAGATTCAGTGCTATCCCCATTTTCTAATTCTGTGATGAATTGACATTCATCACAGAATTAGAAAAAACTACTTTAAATTTCATATGGAACGAAAAAACAACCCATATAGCCAAGACAATCCTAAGCAAAAAGAACAAAGCTGGTGACATCACGCTACCTGACTTCAAACTATACTACAAAGCTACAGTAACCAAAACAGCATGGTACTGGTACCAAAACAGATATTTACACCAATGGAACAGAACAGAGATCTCAGAAATAACATCACACATCTACAACCATCTGATCTTTGACAAACCTGACAAAAACAAGCAATGGGGAAATGATTCCATATTTAATACATGGTGTTGGGAAAACTGACGAGCATATGCAGAAAACTGAAAATGGACCCCTTCCTTAAACCTTATACAAAAATTAACTCATGATGGATTAAAGATTTAAATGTAAGACCTAAAACCATAAAAACCCTAGAAGAAAACCTAGGCAATACCATTCAGGACATAGGCATGGGCAAAGACTTCATGACTAAAACACCAAAAGCAATGGCAACAAAAGCCAAAATTGACAAATGGGATCTAATTAAACTAAAGAGTTTCTGCACAGCAATAGAAACTGCAACCTATAGAATGGGAAAAAATTTTTGCAATCTATCCATCTGACAAAGAGCTAATATCCAGAATCTACAAAGAACTTAAACTTACAAGAAAAAAAACAACCCCATCAAAAAGTGGGCAAAGGATATGAACAGACATTTCTCAAAAGAAGACATTCATGCAGCCAACAAACATATGGAAAAAAGCTCATCATCACTGGTCACTAGAGAAATGCAAATCAAATGAGATACCATCTCACACCAGTTAGAATGGCAATCATTAAAAAGTCAAGAAACAACAGATCCTGGAGAGGATGTGGAGAAACAGGAATGCTTTTACACTTTTGGTGGGAGTGTAAACTAGTTCAACCATTGTGGAAGACAGTGTGGCAATTCCTCAAGGATCTAGAACCAGAAATACCATTTGACCCAGCAATCCCATTACTGGGTATATACCCAAAAGGATTATAAATCATTCTACTATAAAGGACATGACTTCACCCCTCCAGGCATCTGGTGTAATTATTTGAATACACAGTATTGTTCTCTTTTTCTGAACCTTCATCAAGGCACCAGTGTAATGTTGGATTTCCCTCACTGAGTACCTGTTCATTCATTCACATACCTTCAGCGTATGTTTATTGCAGCACTGTTCACAATAGCAAAGACTTGGAACCAACTCAAATGTCCATCAATGATAGACAGGATAAAGAAATGCGGCACATGTACACCACGTAATGCTATGTAGCCATAAAAAAGGATGAGTTCATGTCCTTTGCAGGGACATGGATGAAGCTGGAAACCATCATTCTCAACAAACTAACACAGGAACAGAAAACCAAACACCACATGTTCTCACTCATAAGTGGGAGTTTGGGAGTTGAACAATGAAAACACATGGACACGGGGCGGGGGGGGTAACATCACACACTGGGGCCTGTTGGTGGGTAGGGGGCTGGGGAGGGACAGCATTAGGAGAAATAACTAATGCAGATGACAGGTTGATGCGTGCAGCAAACCACCATGGCACATGTATACCTATGTAACAAACCTGCACGTTCTGCACATGTATGCCAGAACTTAAAGTATAATAATAATAAAAAAACAATGGTGACATACATGACTAACAGTGGTGGTTGGTAAACCAAGCAAAGATCCAAGGGCCTGCCCAAATGGTAAGTCTAGGTGATTGCCTGGGTAGGAGTCACTGATGCTACCAAACAGGCTACTAAGGATAAATGGTTGTGCCTTCCTACTCTAGAAACTAAACAAGAAACATAACACTTGGTTGGATGGTTGTGATTAGAGAGGGTACATATTGTAGATCTGATAATATTGCTAACTCCTATCCATAAAGCTATGTGAAAGAAGGTCATATTTAAATAGAGGCCTGAACCACAACAGGCTATGTCTGAACTACAAAAAGCCAGAGTAATACAATCAATACCTTTGGGCTCTTATGATCCACATTTAGATAAGATTTTGGAAGTGTCTACGGACTAAAACTTAAGGAAAAAGCCCATGATTGCCATCCAGCATTGACTGCTGGGATTTTAGACAAGGAAATTTCCAGATGTAGCAACATAGTGCATCCTGTTTGAAAAACACTGATGATGAGTTGATGGGTGCAGCAAACCACCATGGCACGTGTATCCCTATGTAATAAACCTGCATGTTCTGTACATGTATCCCAGAACTTACAGTGTAATAAATAAATAAAATAAGATAAAACACTGGCTTGTTATTGGTCACTAATTCAAACTGCCTCCACGACTAAAAAAAAAATCTTGAAAGCTGCAATACATATAACATTTTGGGTTATCTCAGAGAAACATTCATTCTAACAAGGAAGGCAGTACTGAGAATTTTCATAATAAAATGGAAATGGTTTATACAGGAAAAGAGAAAAGCAAGGAAATACTCATCATATTCACAAGCAGATAGCCTCCCTTAACTTATGACTGATTCTGGAGGCATCTGGAGAATTACTAGATCCTACTGCCACATATGTGTGCCCTTCTACCAGGCCCTAGTTGGCAAACAAAAAGCCACTTTATTTACAGATGGCAGTTCCAAGGTGATGGACAGCATCCTGTTTGGAAAGCTGCCATACTGTGACTAACTGATGGAAAAAAAACTCTGATCAAAGAAGGTAAGAATAAATCAGTTCACTGAGCTCAACTGCATGCTGTTATCCGTGCAGTAACAGAAGACATAGACAACAGCAAGAGCTCTGAAGTTTGTGTGTATTCTGACTCAGAGGTGGGAGTGAACAGCTTGGTTATACGGTCAAACAGATGGACAATAAGAAACTGGACTACTGAAGTAATGAAGAAATGGAGACTGGAGTTTGCAGTCCATGAGTGCTACCCATGAGTATAAGGTATGGTTCTACAGAAACTTAAGGAACTCATTAAAGTAGGACATGTTGATACACATCAAAATAATTCTCTTCCAGGCCAGGCGCAGTGGCTCATGCCTGTAATCTCAGTACCTTCGGAGGCTGAGACAGGTGGATCACCCGAGGTCAGTTCAGGACCAGCCTGGCCAGCATGGGAAAACCCCATCTCTACTAAAAATACAAAAACATTAGTTGAGAGTAGTGGCATGCACCTGTAGTCCCAGCTACTAGGGAGGCTGAGGCAGGAGAATCGCTTGAACTTGGGAGGCGGAGGTTACGGTGAGCCAAGATCGTGCCACTGTACTCCAGCCTGGACAACAGCAAAACTCTGTCGCAAATAATAATAACAATAATTATCTTCCAGAATCAAAGGATGATTAAAACCAACAGGCGGAGGTTGCAGTGAGCCAAGATCGTGCCACTGCACTCCAGCTTGAGCAACAGCAAGACTCTGTCCCAAATAATAATAACAATTATTATTATTATCTTCCAGAATCAAAGGATGATTGAAACCAACAAGTGAATACCTTAGGGTGCTCACTCCAGTTAGCCACTTGGGTTCATAAAGTGTATGGACACAGATGGTGGCTGATAATCAGCATATTCCTCTTGTATTCTCTGAGGCACAAAATGGCAACATGAACAGTCCAATCTACCAGTCAGAAAGACTGCATACAATGATGAGACAGATTCCCTAGGGTAAAGGCTCTGCACATAGCTGGAAAACAAACTACGTTGGACCACTGCCTGTAGCCCTAGGAGGCTGTCATGGGTGTGACAGGAAAAGACATTTACTCTGGACTGGGCTTTGCATACCTGGTAATAGACACCAATACTCAAAACACAATAAAAGGTTTGGAGCAAATAATACTATACTAATTTGGAAAGTTGAGTTACATTTGTTCAGTTATACCTGTTATATTTGTACATACTGTCCAAATATGGGCAAAGAGAGAACTCATGAAGTTGACACATCAATTTGCTTATCCTCAAAATAGGATGGAACAGGAAATTGAAAGTAGAAATCAGAGAACTGCAGTGGGCAATTGAAATACTTGTTATCAAAAGTAGGAGAAAATAAAGGCAAGAAGCACTGGCTTGTAGGCCTTCACAAGTGTACACTCAGTCAACACAAATCAGACCATGGGAAGGTCATGCCCCATGAGTTAGGATTCTTCTGCTTTTGTGAGGGATTTGAGGATGATGACGTTAAGGAGGATACAAGTATGACCATACAATTCTTCCCCACATCACCTCAACACTCATTTCCTACCCAATAAAGTAATTCCAGAACTAGGACTTGAACTGTGAGTGCTGGAAGCAGAGATAATCCTTAACCAAGAAACTGATTATACCTTTAAATCTTTATGCCAGAATATCTAAGGGCCTGATAGGATGAATTCTGCTTTCACCCAATCTGACAAAATTGCAGTCAACCATTGTATGCAGCTATAATGTCCAGTGGCCAAGATAGCCCACAAGTTCTATATCTGTGTAATCTTACCCTATATGAATGGGAACGTACTGAAGGGGGAGCACTTGGCAGACCCATATCACTATCAGCACCATAGATGAGCCCAATATCCCTTCCAAGGATAGAATGGTTTGACTTAAAATCAATGATAAATGGGAAGAAGAAATAATAGCTGAAGGTATATGAATGAATGAACAGGTACTCAATGAGGGAAATCCAACATTACACTGGTGCCTTGATGAAGGTTCAGAAAAAGAGAACAATATTGTGTATTCAAATAATTACACCAGATGCCTGAAGGGGTGAAGTCATGTTTGCCAACACCACCTCTGCTTTGGAACCTGATGTGGTCTAATAGTAACCTGCAAATCTGAGTGGCATCAATTTGGAGACATTTTGTTCATTCACTACAATGATGAATAAAACCAACTGCTGATGACTGAATGGAACTCCAGTAACGTACCAGTATTATTTTTTTATTTTTCAGGTTACATCTACTACAAAGGATATCATTTGGGAAGAATTTCCAGAAACTGCTCCTGGCTGGGCTATCAAATTATGCAGTATACAACTCCCAGAGGACTGATCACTGTGTAACTGTAAGCCTCAATGACTAAAAGCTTAGAAAGGTTCCTGGTTACGATGGACAAAATAGAGCTTCTACATGCCTGTCGTGCCATAGTGTGCTGAAATACATATCAACCTTGTTTGTGGGTAGAAAGCTATAAGACAAGATAGAAAGAAATGGTGGGTTTCTGGTGGGAATAAAGCAGTAGGCATTAACTGGTGAGCTTGAATCCCCACAGGAAATGACTTCACGTAGAGCCTGAGAAAGACTTGTGAGGTCTTATGGCATACTCAGACTAAATCACATCTAGGTATGATCATTATATGTGATGGTTAATTTTATGTCAATTTAGATGGGCCACATTGTACAGATATTTGGTCAAACACTATTTTGGATGTTTCTGTGAGGATGTTTTTAGATGAGAGTCACATTTAAATTGGTGTTTTTTTGAGTCAAGCAGATTGGGTGAACCTCATTTAATCAGTTAAAGGCCTTAGCAAAATAAAGGCTGACCTCACCCAAGCAAGAGGGAATTCTGCCAGCAGACTGCCTTTGGACTCAAACTGCAACTCATTCCTGAGTCTCCAGCCTGCTGGCCTCCCCCATCAGATTTTGGATTCGCTGGCCTCCATAATCACATGAGCCAATTCCTTAAAATACATGTCTTTATGAATGTGTGTATATGTGTTTATATAAACATATATACATATTCATCCTGCTGGTTCTGTTACTCTGGAGAACCCTAACTATCCATCTAGCCTTAGTATGATGAACTCCCTCCCCAGCCCGCCACCCCACCACCACACACCTAGTAAAGGTAGAACGATATATTAAACACTAAGGGAAATAATGTGTTATACATGCTACAAAAGAATAAAAGAATTATTTTAAAAGCACACAAGACACAAAGGAGAGAGAGGTCATTCTAGCCTATGTGGATAAGAGAAAGCTTTCTTAGAGGTTGATCTAAGCTTGAAAGATGAATAAATATTCTGCAAGCAGATGGGAGGGAGGTGGTGAAGCAGCATCCTTGGCACCAAATGCTCTCTGCCTGAGTAGAGGCCCAGAGATATAAAACAGCATGATAAACTAAAAAACGCAAGTAGGTTTATATAGCTCATGCACAGGGTGAAAAGGGACTGGGACAAGAGGGAGGCAAGAGATGAAGCTGGAGAAATATAAAAGGGCCAACTCATGAAAGGTCTGATATGACAAGGCAGGAGTTTGAATTTCACTTTGCAGAGAAACACATAATGGCTCTAAAAACATACCAACCTGACCAAAGATGCAACTTTAAAACATACTTCTGATAGCAGTGTTAAGGTTCAGAAAGATAAAAATGGTGGGAGCAAAGCAGGCATAGATGGACTACATTGGAATTAAGTTTCTTAAGTCATCTTGGTCTGCCATAACAAAATACCAGGTACACAGGGTAGCTTAAATAACAGACATTTATTTCTCACAGTTCTGGATGCTCAGAAGTCCAAGATCAAGGTGCTAGCCAATTTGGTTCCTGAGGAGGGCTCTCTTCCTGGCTAATGGATGGCTGCCTTCTCACTATGTCCTCATGTGACATTACTTCAGTGTATGCACACATATAGACACCTCTCTCTTCTCCTTCTTGTAAGGCCACCAATCCTATCATATTAGTACCCGACCCTTTTAACTTCATTTAACCTTTAGCTCCTAAAAGCTCTACCTCAAAATACAATAGCATTGGAGGTTAAGGCTTCAACATATGAATGGCGTCAGAGATGGGGATACCCAGTCCAATAACAGTAAGGAATTACAGTAATCTAGTTAAGAGACTAAAGACCTAAGCGAAACCAATAGCAGTGAAGATGGAGAAAAATGTGATGCTAAGAATGTAAAATGAAAAGACCTGTTCACCAGTTAAATATAAATAGTGAAAAGAATATGAAGTTTCTGCTTTAAATAACTGAATGAATGTTAGTACTGTCCATTTAAACAAGGAAAGCAGGTTAATAATGATATGGGATTTTTCTCAGTCACTTTGCCAGCCAGAGACCTCTGGCCAGTGACGCCCCTGCCGAGGCCTTGCTTGGGCCCAGGTACACCACAGAAGATGCTCTGTCCGATCAGACCACAGGGCCACACCCAGCCTGCACTCTGGCATGGATCCTGCAGCGGACCTTGGCCATGTGAGTGAGCAAGTGCAAGGTCCAGCTGGCTATTCCAGGCAAGGGCCAGCAAAGAAGCGGGCTCCATGTGGGGCCTGCAGCTAGACCAGGTGTGTTGCAAGCTAGTCCTGCAGTGGACTCTGGTGTCCAGATAAGGGGAATGCAGTGGTGTCCAGGCAGGGGTGACCACAATGCTAAAGCTCCAGAGAGGATGTTACAGCATGCTAATTAGCTTTTTCAGTCCTACCGTCTGCAGCCTGATGAACAGCAGTAAATTAACAGCCCTGTCAGCCCCTAGCCTCACTCTACCCTGCAGCTCCAGGGCTGGCTTGGCCCTGCTGCTTCCCGTCGTATGGGGTGGCTGCCCTCTGCTGGCATAGGGCAGTGGGCCACAACTGTTATATCCTTTGGTGTACCCACATTCGGTGGGTCTTGAGTTCTTGTCCTGTGTCCAAGAAGAAGGAGGGCATGCTGACAATTGAAGGGCGATGAGGGCAAAGAAGAATTTCATTGGGTGAAGAAACAGTTCTCAGTGGAGAAAGGACATGAGGATGATTTTTCTCCCAGTGTGGCTGAGTCCAGGGCTTTTCGGGCTCAGAATGGGGGAATGTGTGCTGATTGGTTTGGTTTGTGAGTATGCAAAAAAGGTTAAAACAAAAGTACCACTCAAAGGTGGGCACAACAGTGTAAAGAACCAATTAGGGAAGAGTAGGTATATGTAAAATAGGTGAAGGGTGGGGATCAATCAGAGTAAAGTACGCCAAATGGGAAGACAAGTTCTCAATCTGGTCCCTGGATTTGACCTGTAGCTTGGCTTTCAGGCTTTAAACTGTCTTTGGCTTGAAGGTTGGGTTTAAACTGTCTTTGGCTTGAAGGTTGGACCCGCCCCATCTGCCTAGGATTTGTCTGCCACATGTTGTTATCAATAGCCCAGCCAAACCCTAGCAGCTTCAGACTCTGAAAATGCAGGTCTAGTGAAGAGCAGAAGTGAAAAGTCAGACAAAAGAGGATTCCTGAAGATCTATCTACTGAAGTCTCAATCATCACCGAAGGGTTTGAGATTTTTACTCTACTTACAAGCTAATCAGTTAGCCTGTTACTGTTTCAAGGATGCTGGCAGTAGACATAAGACTCCTGGGTCAAAGGACTTTATTCACCACAGCACAGCATCAGCTTATTTGCACTGGTTCCTTGAAACCCAACATCCTTGGGGGTAATAAGATAAGAGTCTAGCTAGATGGTGTGTAGTGGTAGAGGTCGAAGTTGAAGAATGCCAAGCTTGGGAGCTGTGATATTGTGAACTATATATTTGGTCTTCAACCATGGTATACAACTCCTAAAATCCTCAGAAATTCCTACCTGATGTCTTTTTGTATGCTAATGAGATGACTGCTGGCAGGAAGCCCTTAGGTAATGGGGGCCAGTCACCAGAAAGACAAAGGCATGATTAGAAGGTTAGGACTTTCATTCCCCACCCTCACCTCCAAGGAGGAGAGAGGGGCTGAAGGATAAGTTGATCATCAATGGACAATGGTTTAATCAGTCAAGCCTAGGTAATAAGGCTTCCATAAAACCCCAAAAGGAAGGACTGGGTCTGGAGAACTTCTGAATAGTTAAATAAGGAAGGACTGGGTCTGGAGAGCTTCTGAATAGTTAAACACACAGACGCTGACAGGAAGGGGAACAAGAATTCATTAATGTACCCCCAGCCAGTAGGGCGGTACACAGGGACAGAAGCTCCAGTGGTTAGGAAGCTAGGACACTTCTATTTCTTAATCTGGCTGTTTATTTTTATCCTTTAAAATATCCTTTGTAATAAACAGGCAAACATGTTTCCCTGAATTCCGTGAGCCACTCTAGCAAATTAAACCCAACGAGGGGGTTCATGGGACCTGAAACTTGGGGTTGGTCAGATGTCCCAGAGCCTGGACTTGAGACTAGTGGGAAGGAAGGGGTGATCTTGTGGGACTGAGCCCTCAATCTGTGGTTTCAGAGGCTATCTCCAGGTAGATAGCATCAGAAGTGAATTGAATTAGAGGACCCCCCAGCTGGTGTCCATTTGCAAAACTGATTGCTTGCTTGGTGTATAGAAAGAAACACCCACACATGTGGTCAAAGAAGTCTTCTGTGTCGATTGTTGTTGTGTTGTAAAAGCAAAGAAAAAACAGTTTGAGGTTTTTCCACTCACAAGAGCCTCTTATTTTATTGCAAGCTGTAAGCAAGCCTGTTCTTTGTCCCAGATAGACATTATCTCATCTCTCAAGATTGCTCTCTACAAACACAACCCTGAGAAATGGCCCAGGTAAAAAGCAGTCAGGGCCTTTCATTCTTGGCAAATCCAGTAAGACATGTGGGAGCATGAGAAAATCATGGAGGACTGTCTCTCACAACACTCATCCACCTGTTTCATTCCCTCCATGATCCCAAATGCAATACAGCCAGCAGCCCTGGTATGTATGCTCCAGGCAAAATATTAACTGACATACCTCTTTTAAAAATGGAATAAACTATTTAGAGACAATTCAAGTGCTAGAATGGATGTTGTTACCCCAGAAAAAAAGTATTCCAAAGTCTAGTATTGAAAGGGACCAAAATAAAACAGAATTACCCAAGAACACTAAAATGAAGCCTGCCAGTAAACTATCCTCACTCACATACAAGAACCTCCTTCAAGCTTCCTAAAACTTTATTCTCCTTTTCTCTTAATATTTAATTTTGAAAATGTTCAAACATATAAAAACGTTGAAAAATAGTACAAAAACCACCTTTACACCAACCACTTTGAATGAACAACTGTTAACATTTTTGCCAAAAATGCTTCTTTCTATTTCTGTGGGGTTTTTTTCTCTGTTTTTAAAGAAGCATTTAGAAATAACTTTCAGGCATCATGACTTTCTCCCTAAATAGTTTACATGTATCTCCTAAGAATAAGAACATTTCTCTACATAACCATAATACCGTTATCTCCCTTAAGAAACTTAATTCTTTCCCAATTGCCCCTAAAAGTATAGGTATTTTTATTAGTTTTTAAACCAAAATCACAGCAAGGTTCACACACTGCATTTGGGTGGCGGGGGGAGGGAGTGTTTTGTTTTATTTTGTTTTGTTTGAGATAGAGTCTTGGTCTGTCACCCAGGCTGCAGTGCAGTGAAGCAATATCCGCCTCCCAGAATCAAGCGATTTTCCCACCTCATCATTCCGAGTAGCTAGGATTATGGGAGCATGCCACCATGTCCAGCTAATTTTTGTATTTTTAGTAGGGATGGGGTTTTGCCATGCTGGCCAAGCTGGTCTCAAACTCCTGACCTCAAGTGATTCACCCGCCTCAGCCTCCCAAGGTGCCTAGATTACAGGTGTGAGCCACTGCATCTGGCCTGCATTTGGTCTTCATATCTCCTTAATCATTTTCATGTGTAACAGTCTCCCTGATTTCCAACACATTCATCTTAACATTTTTAATGACATTTATGTTTTGAAGAGACCAGGCCAATTATCTTTTCGTATGTCCTGTGTTCTAGATTTGTCTAATTGTGTCCTTGTGATGTTATTTAACTTTTCATCTATCCCCTGTATTTCATTAAAATTGGAAAATGTACCTAAAGGTCTGAATACAGTCAGATTCAACTTATAAAAGAAGATTCACAGTTAATGCTATGTGCTTCAAGTTGCATCACATCAGAAAACACACAATGTCAGGCTGCTGTATTATCAGTGATCCTAACTTTGTTCACTTAGGTAAAGTTGTAACAGCTAAATCTCTGTTGTAAGGTATATTCTTCCCTACACAATTCCAATAAACCTTGAGGTGATATTTTGGTACTGTGCAAATATTCTATTCCTTCATATCCTTTCACCTAAAGGAATTAGTGTCCATTAGTGATCCTAATCTGAATCAATTATTTCAGTGAAGAGCTGTATAATGGCGTATTAATCTGTTTTCACTCTTAAAGACATACCCAAGACTGGATACTTTATAAAGGAAAGAGGTTTAATTGACTCACAGTTCCACATGGCGGGGGAGGCCTCACAATCATGGCGGAAGAGCAAGGGGTGTCTTACGTGGCAGCAGACAAGAGAGAGAGAGTTTGTGCAGGGAAACTCCTCTTTATAAAACCATCAGATCCTCACTATCTTGAGAACAGCACAAGAAAAACTTGCCCTCATGATTCATTTACCTCTCACCGGGTCCCTCTGATGACACATGGGAATAACGGGAGCTACACAACTCGAGATTTGGGTGGGGACACAGCTAAACCATATCAATTGGTTGTCTATTACTGTTGTAACAAGCAACACAATTTAGCTTCTCACAATTTATAGATCAGAAGTCTGGGTTGATTCCACTGGTTTCTCTGCTACAGGTTTCAGAAGGCTAAAATCAAAGTATCAGTCAGCTGGGCTCAAATCAGGAAGTTCTGGGGTCTGCGTCCAAGATCATTCAGGTTGTTGGCAAAATCCTGTTTATTGTAGTTGTAGGACTGAGATCCACATTTCCTTGCAGAGTCATCTGGGGGACAACCTTAGCTTCCAGAGGCCTCTTTCTGATCCTTGGGCATGGGCCCCTATATCTCAGTGCCAGCAACAGTGCAATGAATCCTTCTCATGTGTGGAATCTCTGTGGCTTCCACTTCTGCTGCTACAACTCCATAACAGACTCTTCTGCCTTCCTCTTCTGCTTTTAATAGCTTAAGTGATGCGCTGGGTCTACCTGGATAATCCAGCATGCTATGGTTTGGTTGTAATTTGTCTCCATCAAAACTCATGTTGAAATTTAATTGCCAATGTAACAGTATTGGGAGGTGGAGCCTTTAAGAGGAGATTAGGTCCTTAAGTTTAGATTAATGTCTTTCTTGCAACAATGGCTTAGTTTTTGAGCAAATTGATTAGTTCTTGAAGGAACTGATTAATTCTGAAGAGAATGGCTTGATATAAAACGAGGTTGCCTCTCATATTTTGCCCTTTTGGAACACCTGTTTCCTTTTCCACTCCTCCACCATGTTATGATGCAGTACAAGGCCCTCAACAGAAGCCAAACAGACAATGGCTGCATGCTTCTTTAACCTCCCAGTCTCCAGAATTGTGAGCCAAATAAATCTATTTTCTTCATCAATTATCCAGTCTCAGGCATTCTGTCATAGCAACACAAAACAGACTAAGATAGAAAACTGGTACTGGGTAGTGAGGTGTTTCTATACCTGAAAATATGGAAGCAGCTTTGGAACTGAGTAATGGGTAGTGGCTGGAAGAATCTGAAGGAGTAAGCTAGAAAAAAACCTCTATTGCTGTGAATGGAGCACTAAGGACAATTCTGGTGAGCGCTCAGAAGATGAAAAGAACTAAGGAATACCTTAAGTGGTCATAACCAGAATGCTGATAGACATATGGACAATAAAGGCCATTTTGATGAGGTCTCAAATGGAAACAAAGAATATCTTACTAAGAACTGAAGTAATGGTCATGCTTGTTATATAGTAACAAACAACCTGGCTATACTGTAGCCATGCCCTAGGACTTAATAGAGGGCCAAACTTAGGGCACTGGAATAGCATATATGGTTGAAGAAATGTCTAGGCAGCAAAGCAGTTAGAAGTAACTTCTTACAGCGAGATGCTAGAGAAAGGAAGCAGAGCAAAAATAATTGGAAAATTCCCAGCAAGGATTAGTAGTAGAGAATGAAATAGCATGTTCAGGAGAGGAAACCAAGGGTGTAGCTCACAGGCCATTTGCTAAAAGAATTAATATGGATAAACAGAAGTCAGGTACTAACCATCAAAGCAATGACTAAAAGGCACTAAAAGCATTGCAGAGATCTTCTAGGCCACCCTTTAAGTGTCTGCTCTCCAAATGTCTGCTTCCTGAATTCCAGTGCAGCTCTCCTCACCCATTCCAGCCATTACTCAATCAGCCCATGTGTGGCTTGACTTGCTGCTCCAAAAAGTACAAGCCATAAACCTTTGTGGCACAATGCCATGGCTCAAGTGAACCAAGATGCCACTTGTGCTGCTGCTCTCAAACCATAAGCTCTGATGGTGTCAGCATGGTGCTGTCTCTGCAGATGTGCAGAGGTGTGCAGGCTGGAGGATTATGTTAGCTTCTTCCTAGATATTAAAGGATGCAGCAAACTGCCTGGGAGCCCAGGCAGAATCCTAATGCAGGAATGGAGCCCCAACAGAGAATCCCTAAAAGAATGCATAGTGGAGTGACAGGTACAAAGCTGCCACCTTCAAGACCCCAGAACTGTAGAGTGACCATCAACATGTAACTCTGTGTTAGGCTGTTTTTGCACTGCTTAAAGTTTATAAAGAAAAGAGATTTAATTGGCTCATGGTTCTTCAGGCTTTAAAGGAAACATGGTGCTGTCATCTACTCGACTACTGGGGAGGCCTCAGCAATCTTACAATCATGGCAAAAGGCAAAGAGGAATCAGGTGTCTCACATGGCAAGAGCCAGAGCCAGAGACAGATGAGGAGGGGTGCCAAACACGTTTAAACAAGCAGATCTTGTGACAGCTTACTATTGCAAAATAGACACCACGGGAATGGTGCTAAACCATTCAGGAGAAATCCACCCCCATGATCCAATCGCTTCCCATCAGGCCCCAACTCCAATACTGGGGATTACAAGACAACATGAGATTTGTTGGGGACATATATTCAAACTACATCAAACGCCAGCCTGAGAAAGCCACAGGCTCAAGCACACAACCCCAAACTGAGAGACAAGCACGTGCGCTCCACCCAGCAAAGTCATAGGGGCAGGACTTCCCAAAACCAAGAGAGCCCATCCCTCACCTTGCAATCATCCTACAATTGTGTCCTGGAGGCAGCACATAAAGTGAGAGATGATTCTGGAGTTTTAAGATTTAATACCTGTCCTGTAGGTTTCAGACTTGCTTTGAGGTGGTTACTCCTTTCTTTCTGCACATTCCTCCCTTTTGGAAGGAACATTTATGATAAAGGTTAGGCTTTGTGTCCCTACCCAAATCTCATCTTGAATTGTAATCCCCAAGTGTTGAGGTAGAGAACTGATGGGAGGTGACTGTATCATGGGGGTGGTTCCCTCCATGCTGTTCTCATGATAGTGAGTGAGTTCTCATGAAATCTGATGGTTTTAGAAGTGTTTTGGTAGTTCCTCTCTTGCTCACTTCTTCTCTTCTGCCTGCCACCATGTAAGACATGCCTGCTTCCCCTTCTGCCATGACTGTAACTTTCCTGAGGCCTCCCCAAACATGTGGAACTGTGAGTCAATTAAACCTCCTTCCTTTACAAATTACCCAATCTTGGGTGTTTCTTTATAACAGTGTGAGAATATACTAATACAGTTTACCCCATGCCTGTTCTGCCATTGTATTTTGGAAGCAGATAACTTGTTTCTTATTTTACAGGCTCACAACCAGAAGGAGTGTGCCTTGAGTCTCACATGAGACTTTGGAATTTGGACTTATGAATTGGTGCTGGAATGAGTTAAGATTTAGGGGACCTTTGTGATGAAATGAATATATATATATATGTGATTTTGTTTGTTTTGAGATGGAGTCTCGCTCTGTCACCAAGGTTGTAGTACAGTGGTGTGATCTCAGCTCACAGCAACCTCCTCCACCCTAGTTCAAGCAATTCTCCTGCCTCAGCCTCCCGAGTAGCTGGGATTACAGACACCTGCCACCATGCCTGGCTAATTTTTGTATTTTTTGCAGAGACGGGGTTTCACCATGTTGGCCAGGCTGGTCTCAAACTCCTGACTTCAAGTGATCTGCCCATCTCGGCCTCCCACAGTGCTGGGATGACAGGCATGAGCCGCTGTGCCTGGCCAAAATGAATGTATTTTGCATGTAAGAAGGACATGAGTTTTGGGGAGACACAAATGGAGTGCTATGGTTTGGATGTAATTTGTCCCTGACAAAAGTCACATTTACATTTAATTGCCAATGAAATAGTATTGGGAAGTGGTGCCTTTAAGAGGTGATTAGGTCCTTAAGGTAGATTAATGTCTTTGTCTCAAGACTGGGTTATTTCTCAGGACTGGATTAGTTCTTGTGGGAATGGGCTAGTTCTCTAGCAAGCAGGTTGTTACAAAGTGAGGTTGTCTCTTGTGTTTTACACTTTTGGAATGTCTGCTTCTCTCTCCCTTTATGATGCAGCATGAGGCCCTCACCAGAAGTTGAGCAGATGCCAGTGTTATGCTTCTTGCACTTCCCAGCCTCCAGAATTATCAGCCGAATAAACAACTTTTCTTTATAAATTACCTAGTCTCTGGAATTCTGTTATAGCAAAACAAAATGGGCTAAGACATAGGATAATATCCGTATCTTAAGGTCAGCTATCTGGTAACCTTAATTATATATTCCAAGTCCCTTCACAGCTGTACTTAGGCTCGTGTTTGATTGAGTAAGCAGGAAATGGAAATTTTTGAGGAACATGTTTAGAGGTATATCTACCACACAGGGCAAAAGGTTGATTTTTCTAATTCTATCATATTCATTACCTTCATCAGACTGTATTCTTTGATAAGGAAGAACATTCCTTCCTTACCTGCAAATAAATCACAGTTCTTCATAAAGAGGCCAACTGCTTAATTCTTTCCCTCTGGTTACCAATTTTCAGATAACTTTAATCTAAAAATGGCAAATTGGCTATATTTTTAAAGAGATTATGAAACCATGACTTTGCTTATTAAATGTTTTATTATCAGTAAGAACCCTTATTCTGTTTTATCCTCAAATTGCACCAACTTTGCCCAAAAGAAGCACTTTCTAGTTGGTTCTTCTGTCCTTTTCACATGCGTCCATTAGACTGAATGTTTGATTTCTGACAAGGCACAATGTTGTACGTAGGCCAGGCGTCCCAAACCCCCAGGCCACAGACCAGTGCTGATTGGTGGCCTGTTAGGAACCGGGCTGCACAGCAGGAGGTGAGCACCAGGTGAGGGAGCATTACTGCCTAAGCTCCACCTCCTGTCAGATCAGTGGCAGCATAATATTCTCATAGGAACATAAACCCTACTGTGAACTGTACACGCAAGGGATCTAGGTTGCACACTCCTTATGAGAATCTAACTAACGCTTGATGATCTAAGGTGAAACAGTTTCATCCCAAAACATCCCCCACCCCCAGTCCATGGAGAAACTGTCTTCCATGAAACCAGTCCCTGGTGCCAAAAAGGTTGGGAACTGCTGTCTAGGGCTCGTCTTTTATTTTCTTAGTTCCAAATTTGGAATCCGCCTTTTCTCCAAGGAGCCCTGGCTTTTTACTAAGCAATGCATTTAGGAACCAGGATCTTATACATACATATACATATACATATACATATACATATACATATACATATACATATACATATACATCACTATATGTATGCATTGCTACTAGGGAGTCAGTACTTCCAAGCCCTTTTGGTGAGTAAATCTAGGAAATATATTTTTTAAACATAATGAGTTTATGGTGAAATTCCCAAAATATTGTTATCTGCTTTGATTTTATATTCATACCTTTCTCTAATCCTGAAAATCTTGATTCATAATTACATTTATATATTTATTTGCTTTAATATACCATATTGATAAACTTGTTTCAAAATCATTGCACCACTATCAATGTAACAGTAAAACCAGTAAGTTAATTTTAACATTTCACTGGCCATTGTTTTTATCCTGAGGATATATCCAGCAAAGTAAGGACCTGGAGCCAACCCAACTGCCCATCAATGTTAGACTGAATAAAGAAAATGTGGCACATATACACCATGGAATACTATGCAGCCATAATAAAAAAGAATGAGTTCGTGTCCTTTGCAGGGACACGGGTAAAGCTGGAAACCATCATTCTCAGCAAACTAACACAGGAACAGAAAACCAAACACCGCATGTTCTCACTCATAAGTGGGAGTTGAACAATGAGAACGTATGGACAGAGGGAGGAGAACATCACAAACCAGGGCCTGTCGGGGGGAGGAGGGGGTAAGGAGAGGGACAGCATTAGGAGAAATACCTAATGTAGATGACAGGTTGATGAGTGCAGCAAACCACCATGGCAGATGTATACCTATGTAACAAACCTGCATGTTCTGCACATGTATCCCAGAACTTAAAGTATTAAAAAATAAAATTAAAAAAAACAGTAAAACCACTTAGTTAATTTTAACATTTCACTGGCCATTGTTTTTATCCCGAGGATATATCCAGCAAAAGAAGGACAATGTACTGACTCTATTCCAAATATTTGAAGTATTTTCTTTTTCTCTGCTCAGTTACATTACCAACTAGATGCATATTTAAGCTCATATGTTTCATTTTCTTTTCAGTTTTAGGGTATTCTTTAAGCACATCAAAATTTGTATATGGTCCAAATATCAAAATTACACAAAAAGGTATTAGAAAATTCACAAAGCTATCCCTTCATCCCATTCCTCCACATTCCCCATAGATAAATGTGGTTATTAATTTTACCTTTCCAGTTTTTTCCACAATAATAAACAACAAATATATGTATTTATTTCCTTTCCTTTCTCATACAAATGGGAAAATACAACTGTAAGTTCATAAGATATTGGCAATTTCTCCTTTAAAGGAATTTACCACTTTACACTCCCACCAGCAAGATATGAAAAGTCCTGTTTCTCTATAGCCTCATCTACTAAATGAGGTTAAACATCTTTTCATATGTTTAAAGACTATTTGCATTTCTTTCCCTATGAACCACTGGTTCATGCATCATACCCACTGATGCATTTGTAAGGGGGGTTTGGTTTGGGTTTTTTGTTTTGTTCTGTTTCTGTTGTTTTGGTCTTTCACTTTTCAACTTTTAGAAAGGCAAGTAGTCTTTGGAATCTTCCTTGCTATCCAATAAGACAAGATATCCCCATTTCATGGCACTCATTTCTTGCCCCAGTCAGGAATCAGGTATTTCTCCAAAGAATTCAGGTTCTTTATTAGAATCCAGGTTTTGTTACTAGGTTGGCATTTCAAGACCATAATCAGCGCCACTGGGTTGGTAGGTTTTATTTCATTTTTTGCATTTAGATCTCTAATTCATTTGGAGTTAATTCTGGTGTACACAGTGATGAAGAGCCAATTTTTATATTCCTATGGGTGATTACCTATCAATTGCTAAAAGTCCCTTTTCCCCCACTGATTTATGATTGCACCTTAACATAAAATATATTTCCATGTGTAGTTGGGCTTTCTATGTATTTCTGCGCTTTGCATTCTGTTCAGTTGGTCTGTGGGTCTGTTCATATATAAATACTATATTTTTAAAGAGGCTTATAGTTTTTCTCAACCACAAAAACATGGAAAATTATGTCAGCAACTGTTTTGTTTTCAATTCTAAAATATCTACTTAGTAATACTATCCTATACGTAGTATTCCACTTATAGGAATGGATATTAGACAGAGATGAAAGTAAAAGGAGTCTGCTAACAAATTCTGGGCCAATGGTCATTTCTTCATCTCTCCTACAGAAAGATAAGCTTGATGTCAGTAATAATAAGTAGACAGAGTGAGGAGAAAGAAAATCAGCAAACTAAACCATTATAACAGCAATAATAAATTAAAAATCTTCTTAATGAATAGCCTAATCAACACATTTTCTTTCAATCCTCCTAACATTTGCATAGCACATTAAAGAATATAAAATAATATCGCATCTACCCACATTATTCTTCACAACAGAATAAATAATTTTATTCTCATTTTATAACAGAGGCTTGCAAATACCACTTTTCTAAAGTCATACAGACGTGACTGAGCCAGAACTAAGACCCAGATCTCCTGATGGCCAATACAAGATGTGTGAATTTCACATTACATAAAGGTATCAATTATACACAGAAAATCACATTATGTTCAAATATTTGGGTGCTAAAATAATGAAGTTGTTCCTAGTTTCAAATATGTAAATACAGCCATTGAAAAACTCCTATAAGATGGCACTAGCCTACATTGTTTAATCTCATTTTTTAAATGTAATATTTTTCAGTAATTTTCCATTATTTTAGAAAACATATTACTAATTTAGGTCCAGAGAATAAAATTGTACTCTTAGTTGTTTTTATAAGTGTGATCCTATCCATCAATAAGAAAACAAGCTTATAAGATTACCTAATTGTTGCTATTCTCTTTTTAAACACATTGACAATTTATTAATTCTTAAAGAGGTTTTCAAGATATATATCAAAGAAAACACAAAGACCAAAATTAGGCAAGAAAACAGAATCTTTCATTATAATGTCTGCTGAATTATAAATTCTCCATTTAACATTATAATAATTCAGTACTGGCATGAAAGAGAAAACTGATAAAATTTCACAAGTTACATGCTGTTTCTACCAACCTATTTACTACTTAATATGGTAGCCTTTCCAGTCTTTCTCTGAGTTTAACAGAAACATTATTTCTTGGCATTCAACTCCAATATATATTATATATACACTAAAGTACTAAAATGGTACTTTGAGAGTTACCACTTCACACCACTCTCCCACCTCCTTAAGCTAACAGTATTTTTCTAAATTTGGAGAAATTATCCAAACTTATTAAGGGCTATGTATTTTTTAAAGCTCTATGTGGATAGTATAAAAATATATACATATTAGCAAAAGCATTTGTTTGACTATAAAAACATAACTGTGTGAATGTAAAGAATATTCTTTTGTGTATTATGGCACTGCATTCTAAAAAACAAACTGACATCTCAGTTTATTTTACTTACACAATAAGTTTAATTTACATTTAAATGATAGTGCATTTCAGGAGCAAGACTTAAAAACAATTCCTACTGAATGACTGCTATAATAATCTCCTTAAGAAAGAAATAAACATAAACTAAAACAACAGTTGTGAAACATATATAGTAGCGCTCAGCTAAAGACAAAACTCGATATTCAGTAGGAAAATACTAAAAAAAAAAAAAACAGAAGGGGTTTTTGTTTAGATTTCTGGTTGAAATCAAAATCTGTTTCCTTAAGTCTTCAATCTTGAGCATATCAAAAGCTATTTATTAAGGCAGACTTTCAGGCAGTAAACTCAAATTTCCACTATCCTCTGTATACTCTCCTATGATGATCAATCAGAAGAGAAGATGGTTTTTAGTGCTTCTATGTCCAAGACCTGATGAAATCCTTTCCACAGGTTCTCAGTTAATGAAACTAACATAAAGTACTAAATTATTTCCAGAATTTAAATACAAAGGTTTATCTGTTTTCTAGGAACTGTGGAAAGTTACATAAGAACTCACATTTTCTAAATCATAATGATAAACATCTGAAGTTTGAATGTAAGTGTCAGAGGTGTTTGAACCAAAGCAACTCCATCTTGAATAGGAGGTGGGTAAAATGAGGCTTAGACCTACTGGGCTGCATTCCTAGACCATTAAGACACTCTAAGTCACAGGATGAGATAGGAGGTTAGCACAAGATGCAGGTCATAAAGACCTTGCTGATAAAACAGGCTGAAGTAAGGAAGCTAGCCAAAACCCAGTAAAACCAAGATGCCCATGAGAGTAACCTCTGGTCCTCACTGCTACACTGCCACCAGCACCATGACAGTTTACCAAATGCCATGGCAACATCAGGAAGTTACCCTATATGGTCTAAAAAGGGGAGGCAGGAATGATGTACCCCTTGTTCAGCATATCATCAAGAAATAACCATAAAAATGGGCAACCAGCAGCCCTCAGGGCTGTTCTGTCTGTGGAGTAGCCATTCTTTTATTCCTCATCATTCTTAATAAACTTGTTTTCACTTTACTCTATGGACTCGCCCCGAATTCTTTCTTGTGCAAGATACCAGAACCCTCTCCTGGGGTCTGGATCAGGACCTCTTTCCTGTAACATCTTTCTGGCAACCATAGAAGGGACTATAGTGCAGAAACTCCCAAACCAAAGGCTAACTTTGGGTAAGTGGTGGGGTCTGGTAACATCTTTCTGGCAAACCCTGAAGAGATGATACTGAAGAACCATCACCCCCCAACCCCGATCACTGATCAAAAGGAAAAAGACTGCAGCACTGATCAACTGACTTTGGGTAAGTGGTTGGGTACCCGAGTAAAGGATGGGATTGGGTTAGAGGCCCAACTTAGGGGAGTTAGCATCTCTCCTAAGACAGAGTGGGCTGGAGGCACCTCTTAATAAAAGGCAAGGACCAACTTTGGGTTAGAGGCCCAAAACTGAGGAGGGTTAGAGTCTCTTCTAAGACTTAGGGGTTAGAGGCCCCTCTTGGTAAAGTCCCTTTAGGCTAAGAATGAGTTTGGCATCACAGGATGTTAACTGCTTTTCTCTGAATTAATCTGCCTTGTACTCTTTGCTAATGGCTATGGGTGACAGGATTAGGCATGTACAGGATCGTGGGACATGGGGAGCTTTTTCCTCCCTAAAAGGGGAAACTTGAGAGCTAATGGGACTGCTGGAAAAGATCCCTTCTTGACTGACAAGCAGCCGCCTGAACTTTTTTTTTTTTAATTATATTTTAAGTTTTAGGGTACATGTACACAACGTGCAGGTTTGTTACATATGTATACATGTGCCATGTTGGTGTGCTGCACCCACTAACTCGTCATTTGCATTAGGTATATCTCCTAATGCTATCCCTCCCCCCTCCCCCAACCCCACAACAGGCCCCAGTATGTGATATTCCCCTTCCTGTGTCCACGTGTTCTCATTGTTCAATTCCCACCTATGAGTGAGAACATGTGAGTGTTTGGTTTTGTCCTTGCAATAGTTTGCTGAGAATGTGTCACTGCAATGGGTGGGTCTTTCTCTGGCCTCCCTGAGCTCTTCACCTTCCTCAGCATGCCACAGGCAATGCTTTTATCTCTCTCCATTCCCTTTCTTATCTTTTCTATTACTCAGGGCAACTATCTTGCCCAGAGATCACAAGTTGAAACTCCTGGTGGGAGGTTAGATTAATGATGACAGGGCCCAACAGGGGGCAAGTTTGAACCTTGCCAGTTTGATATTGGGTGCTAAGCAGAGGAGCTAATGTCTATGTTTCGTCACACGTATTTTGCTCTGGCCAGAAAGGAAAAAGATAACTTTCCTCTGTGTTGCGACTTGGCCCCCAGGGCTGTGGTGCAGCCAGCCAGGTTACTAGGGCCGCTGAGGAAAAGGGAACCCAGAAGCCTGGCATGTCAGCAAAAGTGTAAGAATTTCTTACTAGTCAGACTTCTGGCCTCTCTGTCTCTCTCGGTCTCTCTCTCTCTCTCTCTCTGTGCAAACCGGTTGAATAAACGGTAAAAATCACTAGTTATCTCCTGTAAAGTTTTGATTAATGGGAAAAAGGATTCATGAGGCTAGTCTTAAGCTGCAGTGAATCTAGTGTGCTTTGTGTGTCCTTCTGTATTGTCTGTCATAATGAGGGACACATTAGGATAGAACATGAGCTTAGGACACCTGTAAGCCCACTTTTCAAGACGGCCCAGCAAACTGGTCAGTCATGTCCTTGGGAGCTTGACCTTGTAACCACGTGGCCGTGCTTTCTCTTTTCACAATGGCAGCCCAGGTTTAGGGTCCAATTCCTGGCTTAGGGAATGGGTCCTTTATCTTCTGTCTCTCTGTGTATTTATATGTGTTGTGTGTGTGATGTTTATATATGAAAGAGCTTAAATTAATTGATTTAATAATAATAAGAGCTTAAATTAAATACATTGTCAGAAAAGTAAAAAGTGTAATGCCTTTTATTTAGTTCATGTGACTTAAGTCATCTTTGGCAAATAAAGACAGTTTTAAAGATATTGGTAAAATAAAAATATCTTCAAAATGTAAACATTTGGTCTAAATTATGTAGGACAGATATTAAGTTTCCTAAATGCTTTCAGATCATAAACTACTTCTTTGACTATTAAAAACTGCTCAATTTACCTACCTTGGAGCATTAGATCCTAGATAAGGCCTGGGAAATGTGGAGTTAGCCACGTCCCCTAGCTATGACGGAAAGAGTCAGCCCCTATCTGCACTTTGCCTGGTGTGTCTTAGGCTAGTCTCCACATCTAGCACATAATTAAAATCCTGAACTTACCAAGATTTTTCACAAAAAAAAAATGAAAATTACTAAGAGTTAACAGTGTAACATGTAACTGAGACTACAGAAGAAACAGTTCTACACGCAAGGTATGTAAAGAAAGTGAAATGTGTTTCTGATAAAAGATTACAAGAAGGCATAGGAATGTGAATTTCCTGCCTAGATTAAAGGTTTAAAGGACTGTTTAAAGTTAGATGGAATAAAGCTGAAGGTTTAAGCAAGTTGTGGAAGGTTTGTAAAAAATTAATCTCGTAAAAAAAATTCTGTGTGTGAATATATTGGCTAAAGTAAAAGGGGTATTATTCAGTTTTTCTGTAAACTGAACATTAGAATAAAAGTACAACAGGTTTTTCTTAGAGCACTGATCTGCTGTTTAACAAAAGATCAGCTTTTTTTTTTTTTTTTTTTTTTTGAGATGGGGTCTCGCTCTGTAGCCCAGGCGCGACCTCAGCTCACTGCAAGCTCTGCCTCCCGGGCTCATGCCATTCTCCTGCATCAGCCTCCCGAGTAGCTGGGATTACAGGCGCCCGCCACCACGCCTGGCTAATTTTTTGTATTTTTAGTAGAGATGGGTTTTCACCGTGTTAGCCAGGATGGTCTCAATCTCCTGACCTCATGATCCACCCACCTCGGCCTCTCAAAGTGCTAGGATTAAAGGCGTGAGCCACTGCGCCCAGCCACAAAAGATCTGCTTTTAACAAAAATTTGTAATGGGTTATAAAAAGTTTATGTGAATCTTACCTTATGGTCAAGCATTAAAATTGGGTAGATATGTCTATAAGGCTTTCTTAAGAATTGGGTGTCACATAAATAGTACACTAATTCCAAGGTAAAATTTGGCTTATATGGTATAAAAGTCATACAGGAAGTATAATCAAATGTCAAATGGTGTTTAACTTTCTTTGGGTTATATTTATATAAACTTGTTATTAGTACATATTACAAAATTGTGTAAGATGCCTATAATTCTGATATGCTTCAGTATATATCATCAGTAATAATTATAATTGTTACATAAAATCACTGTATGCCACAGAGATAACCAAATTTCTTTGTCAATCGTGTTTTTGACTGTGGCTGCCCTAAAATATTTTGTCATCCACAGGCAATTGTTGTCTTGTTTTAATCCTCTTTAGAAGGTGGTTTATAATCAACTATAGAACTCTAACAGGTGTTCTTAAATGCAGGTTTCTGATAACTTTGAAAATTGAGACATCAGAATAGAGGAAAAAAAACTTTCAGGACTCTCATGGAGACCTGAAGTGTTCCTGAATATCAAGCAGAACTAAGGATTTAACTGAATAGACTGAACCAATAGAAAACTAAAGTAATCTTTTTAACTTTGCTTGAAACACTGCTGATCTTTTCGTTTTACAGTCAAGAAAACTTTTCTTTTGAGCTATTTACAGATTTTAGCAATTGAGTAAAGTATACTCCTGTGAACAAAATTTGAAGGATAGTTGCTTCTCTCTACCTGATTTCTCCAAAATTTGGAAACTAGTTCTGAGTATTCTTAACTTACAGCAATATAGTTATTTGCATAAGTGCAGTAAGAATCTGTTTTCTCTTGTAACAGGACACAACTGGAAAAACTGGTTATTTTACCAAGTCTTTGACTGAAACAGCATGCTTTCCTTTAAGGAATCAAATTTGACTTGTAGAGCCAATAAAAGCCCCTAGCAGACCTGGCCTCATACTTTACCTACACAGTCCCTGTACAGGGTTTCTGACCTGTGGCAAATAAAAAATGTCACTTTCTAACAGGTCCAGGAGACCCAAGTTATCTTGGGACCTCAAAAGGAGAATAATTTACCCAACTCATAGGTATTTGAGGGTACAAATCCATGGCTGGGCTCAGCTTTTAAAAAGTCTTATCTGAGATTCCCTATGGAAAAGAGTTCCATCAAAGCCAATTTTTAAAGCCTAAGTGAAAAATAATTGTTCTTGCTGCACTTTATACAAATAATCAGGCAAAGTATAATAAAGCAAATTGGTCTTACCATGATTTGTCTTTAGTAAAAATGGAAAACTTGAGAGAGAAATTATGTTTCAAGAATTATGGTACACTTGTTACTAATTTCTAGTCTCATTAGTTGTTTTTAGGTTTGCTTCTGCAATTTTGGCTAACCCTGCTTATTCCTGTGAATGAACCAGTGGTCTCTGACTGCTACTCAGAAAAAACAAGAGGGTTGGGTAACGTAAAAATCTGGATCAGTAGCCTAATTCTGGGCATGTATTGGAATTGGCTAGCACCCCACATCAGCTTGGTTCTAACAGTTGCCCAATTCATGGAACACATTCTAACTTAGTTTACTTGGAATAATTTTACTTATTTTGCTTTACTGTTGTGGAATATATTGCTGTTGTACTCTTTGTGTAGGAATGCAGAATAAGCTTACTCAATGTTTTCCTAAATTGAACACTTACTAATATTCCAGATATCACCTCTTGTTGGAACTCAAAAGTGATGAATGACCCATATCAACACTTTCGGACTGAGCTCCTCTCTACCGCACATACAGAAAGAGATCCTCATAGTCAGGCAGGAATATCATCGCCCCTATTCAGCCTGAAGAAGTTATAGAAGATAGATCTTCATCCCTCTGCAACCCTTAGGATTAAGGGTTATCCTATAAAAGGGAGGGTGGAAATGTCACAGGCGTTTGAACCAGAGCAACTCCGTCTTGAAAAGGAGCTGGGTAAAATGAGGCTGAGACCTACTGGGCTGCATTCCTAGATGGTTAAGACATTCTAAGTCACAGGATGAAACAGGAGGTCGGCACAAGATACAGGTCATAAAGACCTTGCTGATAAAACAGGTTGCAGTAAAGAAGTTGGCCAAAACCCACCAAAACCAGATGGCCATGAGAGTGACCTCTGGTTGTCTTCACAGCTATACTCCCACTGGCACCATGACAGTTTACCAATGCCATGGCAACATCAGGAAGTTACCCTACCAAGGCGGGTGGATCACCTGAGGTCACGAGTTGGAGACCAGATTGGCCAACATGAGGAAACCCCATCTCTACTAAAAAATACAAAAATTAGCCAGGCATGGTGGCGCTTGCCTGTAATCCCAGCTACTTGGGAGACTGAGGTAAGAGAATTGCTTGAACCTGGGAGGCTGGAGTGCAGTGAGCTGAGATCATGCCACTGCACTCCAGCCTGGGCAACAGAGCAAGACTCCATCTCAAAAAAAAAAAAAAAAAAACAACAACCAAAATAAAAAGGAAGTTACCCTATATGGTTTTAAAAGGGGAGGTGTGAATAATCCACCCCTTGTTTAGCATATCATCAAGAAATAACCATAAAAATGGGCAACCAGCAGCCCTCAGGGCTGCTGTGTTTATGGAGTAGCCATTCTTTTCTTCTTTTACTTTCTTAATAAACTTGCTTTTACTTTACTTTATGAACTCACCCTGAATTCTTTCTTATGTGACATCCAAGAACGCTCTCTTGGGGTCTCGATCAGGACCCCTTTCCTACAACATAAGTGTTAAAATCTTCCAATAAATTATGCCACATATAGTCTATTTTTATCAAATACTTTTAAATCACAAACACTTTAATAGTATGAAACTTCTAGCTCTTAAATGGAAGTTGAAATAATTAAAATTGTTTAGCTTAGAAACAGGAAAATTATCATTTTCTTTTCTTCAATAAGAAAATACACAAAATTAGGAACATTAAAAAATCTCTAAAATGCATAGGTCCAGAATTTATACTAAACACTTTATCTATTTGTATCACACTATTTATTATTCAACAAATATTGTCAGGACACAGAAAGTTTCCCCCAAAATTGCTTAAAAACATGTATTTTTTAAAAATGCAATGCAGAGTGATAAGTAGCATAAGAGATATACAGTAAACTCATCCCTTTATTTACTAACATTGCTTTCTTTTTTAAACTCTACTTATTTGAGTCTTCCTAAATGGCATTCATCTTTAACGTTGTCTTAAATCATTTTTCATATAAGATAAAATAGGTAGAAAAACAAAATGGGAAGAAAAGAAATCAGGAGAGAGAAAGATTGTAACAGAAGAGATGAGGGAAGGCTTCCTAAAGGAGGAGACATTTGAGCCAAAACAGGAAGACAGATGGAGGTGGGATACAGTGACAAGGAGAGAAGGACATTTCAAAGGGAGAAAACAGTGTAAGATGGAAGTATAAACTGTGAATGAAGAATAGTAGTTGGTTAAATTTCACTTGAACGCATGACTCAGAAATGGAAATTATGGAATATTATAGCAAAGTATCACCATTTTTCTGAGAGAGAGTTTAATTTTTTTTTATTATTTTCTCTTATTTTCTCCTTTTCCCCTGTTCCTCAGCTTCCTATTTAGCCCTTTAGAAATGCAAATACAACGCTTTACCTCCCCCTCACCAGACATTCCCTACAGGGCAAGTTCATCTAACTGTGCTCCAAGAGGGATCTCTCCTCAAGAGTTGACAGTAGATTTGCAGACCAAAGTATACCCCATGGAACTCTCACTCTGGGACAGGGAGGAGGGGGAACAGTGGGGTGGGGGGATAACCTTGGAACTCATACCCACCAGGAGGGCATGTGGAAAGCATGCCCACTTGGCCACTTTTACAACTTACTTCTACCCAGGAAGGCGCCAACTTAACTGCCCAGTAGATAAGGCACCAGCTAGCAAGGGGACTCCCTGCCCTTGCTTGCTCCCTCCCCTATCTTAAAGTGCCTGCTTTCTGCTCCAAGAGTAAAGTAGTACATTTAAAGGCAGACTGTTTGTGCCTCTTTCCTCAAGCTAGCTTCGGGATAAATTCACTTTTTTTTTGTACCAGACCTCACTCATGCTTATCGGATTCTGCACACAGCAAACAACTAACCTGCTTTTTGGTTACAGAATCAATGAAAAGACAGGTCCACAGATGCATTAAGTCCCACTATCATGAATTCCAAATAACTAATTAACTATAGTGAAAACTCTGTCATTATTGGTATATAACCAGAACTCATACAACTAACTTCTAAGATGTAGGAAATAAAATTCAATTAATAATTAACCTTCAACAGTGAAATTAGCAATCAAAACAAGTATTCCAAACATGACATAAGAAGCATGATGGTATGATACAAATACTGTAATAACCAGACTTTCTCTCTCCAATTCCTGGGTCTTTTTGTTGTACTGAGTTTTATGTTAGGAAAATATGTTTACTTTTGATCAAAATATTCAGGAAGAAAAAATGTTGGTACTTAAAGCTGAGGAGTCCACTGATCTAAATAGAAACACTGCATTAAAAGTTAAATGCTATGGCCAGGCACAGTGGCTCATGCCTGTAATCCCAGCTCTTTGGGAGGCCAAGGTGGGCAGATCACCTGAGGTCAGGAGTTCGAGACCAGCCTGGCTAACATGGTGAAACCCCATCTCTACTAAAAATACAAAAATTAGCCAGGTGTGGTGGTGCATGCCTGTAATCCCAGCTACTCGGGAGGCTGAGGCAGGAGAATCACTTGAACCCAGGAAGTGGAGGTTGCAGTGAGCCGAGGGTGAGCTGAGGCGCCTGGCGCCTGGGTGACAGAGTGAGACTCCATCTCAAAAAAAAAAAAAAAAAAATTAAATGTTATAATTTTGGGTAATCACTTGGGTCCAAATTGAATGTGAACACAAATGTGAAAGCAGGCATAGGAGGCAGTAATGTAGATAATACAGAATATGCTCTCTCTCTGTAAATAACCATCAAAGTAAAAACTCAAATATTTTGATTCTTATCGACTAAGGTACACCAAAAATAAATCTGTGTGCCTCCATATATCCAAAGAATTATGTATAAGATCCTAGGAAAAAGGAATCATTTACACATGGAATTACCTAAAAAGACACATAGCTGGAGTTTAACATAGATGATGTTGGAGGATACATATTGATGGCATAAATGATGCAGATGCCAAAAAGGACAAGGTATATTTGAAGACTAGCAACCTGTCCAAGTGAGCTGGTGGTGTACATGGCTTATGGAAAATAGTAAATAAACAGTCCCATTTAAAAACAAACACAAAAACCACAAGCTCTTTTCTAAGGCCATTATAGTATGGTTATTCTATAATCAAAATACCACCAGTTTGCAACATATAATTCAAGTGGAAATCGGTAAGCTTTTTTTTTTTTTTTTTTTTTGAGACAGAGTCTTACTGTGTCACCCAGGTTGGAGTGCAGTGGCACGATCTCTGTTCACTGCAACCTCCATCTCCCGGGTTCAAACGATTCTCCTGCCTCAGCCTCCTGAGTAGCTGGGATTACAGGGGCGCAACACCACACCTGGCTAATTTTTGTATTTTTAGTACAGACAGGGTTTCACCATGTTGGTCAGGCTGGTCTTGAACTCCTGACCTCGTGATCCACCCTCCTTGGCCTCCCAAAGTGCTGGTATTACAGGCGTGAGCCACCATGCCTGGCCAGGTAAGCTTTTTTTAATGTGCAGCAGAAATTACTCAGGGCATTGAATATATTTAGGTTATAAATGCTGTAGAACACTAACAAGAACTGTGAAGATTCTTTAACTGTCAGATTTTACATTGCATAGAAGCTAGCAAGTTAGCCTGCACAGTCATGGATGCTGTCAGATGACATTAGTCTTCTGGATCAGAAACAAAAATTAATCAGGGTATAGCAGGCAGCATGAGCTTCATGTTCTCATGAAGTCCAATCTCTTGCTCCTCAAATCCCAAAGAGGCAGTGTCAACAGGCCCAGGTGGAGGCTGAGCATGCAACAGGATTGTATCACAGCTGACGAACCTCAAACTTAGGAAACCCAATCTTCTAAAGGGGCTATTAGCAATCCTTTGCCATCAGTGGGGGAAGGGAGGAGCATTATCTTTTTATCCTGGACAACAAACTAATCTGCCCATTGCCTTGGAGGGAGATACAACCTCTGTCTTCGAAGCCTGTTTCCTATACAGTTGTCCTTGAAAAGATGATCCAGAGCAAAAGCTGTCAAAGTCTTTGCTCAGAGATATACAGAAATGCAGGAGATCAAAGAATTGTCTCCCAGGAAATGATATATTCTTCATGCTATTATACTTATGTTACCATATATTCTTTATGTGATAATTTAACCAAGTAGTTCATTTTTACTACTCTATTTAAAAACAAAAAAGGAATACAGAAATTTCAGCTTTTCCTTAGAAAAGTAATGTAGCTATCTAGTTATCACACTAAAACTTATGTGTCCACATGCATTTTTACTAAAAATAAAGATAATATGACACAGAATGACTAAAACTTTTCACTTTACCAAACTACTCA